>NW_016107311.1:0-100553 GCF_000001405.40 Homo sapiens
GAATTCCCCATGAGTCCTGTGACCTCAGCCCACACGGGGACCTACAGGTGCTACGGCTCACTCAGCTCCGACCCCTACCTGCTGTCTCACCCCAGTGGCCCCGTGGAGCTCGTGGTCTCAGGTGAGGGCGCTGACCCTGTCCTCTCTGAGCTCAAAGGCTCAGCTCAGGCCCTGCCCCCAGCAGAGCTCTGGACACTAAGGAAAGAGGGGAGTGAAGGGAGAGGGTCCGCAGGGGAGGGTCCAGCCCATGGGAAGATGGAAATAGACAGGGACCTCCCACCCCTGGCTCCCACCCCTGAAGTCTCAGTAGAGTAAAGTGCAGGGAGGGCTGGGAGGAGACGGGGGGTGAACCTCAAAGGAGTTGAGATTAGACTGAGGGTGGAAGACGGAGGCCCCACCTGCTCCCATCCTGGTGTCTCCACCTCAGAATCAGAGCCTCTGTGTCCCAGTCCCCAACAGACGCCCTCCTGGAGAGAGAAGCATCCAGGCTGCCGGTGCCACCTGCATCCACCCCCGACCCCCCCCCACCCCGCCCCACTTCCTGCTTTCCCCTGCAGCCTCCCCAGCACTCAGCGCACACCTGAGCCTCACAGGGACTTGCACGTGCTCCCGCAGCAGCTCAGGGAATGTGCACCGCTCCTCTTCTGCGCCGTTGACATTTTTTATTTGGGTTTTTAAAATCTCATATTGGCCTTTTTGTCCAAGCTGGTGAAAGTAGATTTGCAGCATCACCTATTTTTATTCTCACCCGGTTTCGTAATAGCCCTGATCTCACGTGCTCCCTGAGGTTTTGTAAACTTCAGGTAGAAATGTGGACTTCCTTCGTTCTGGACATTTGCTATGGAGGGGGTAGGGCTTATCTTTTCAGAAAAAGTCAAATGACTGGTACCACTCCTTGAAACCCTACAGCACTTTCCAGACCTCAGAGGGAGGGAGAGAGAGGCAGAGACAGAGACAGAGAGACAGAGAGAGAGATATTGGGGCCGCTCTTTCCTGGCCGGTTCATCCTGGCCTATTCTCAATCCACCAAGGCCCCGAAGCTCATCTCCCCTCCTCCTCTGCCTCCTCCTCCACCCTGTAGACAAGCGGCCATTCCTTTCTGAAGAACAGGCTGAGACCTTTCTGGGACCTGCTCTTTCTGGAGCCTCTGTTGCTCCCTGTCTGGGTCTCCACACGCCTCCTTCCTGGCCCTTTTTCCTATTGAGGAATCAGCTTCAATGTCACCTCCAAGTGTGACCTTCACTGACGACACAGCTCAGCCCAGTCCTGCCTGCTTCTCATTTATGTCAAGTAATTAACCAACCTACACCATGCGGCTGAATTCCTTCTCTCTCTCTTCCACTCTCTGCATATACGTGTGTGTGTGTGTGTGCGCGTGTGTGGTCACACCAACATCTTACGTGACATTGAAACCTAGTTATCCGTATATCTATACAAATAATATATATTCACACATAAATATAGGTCTCTACCAATATATCTAAAACCATTGCTACGACTAGTAAATTTCCACTGCTGTGTTTCTATATGTTTGCTGTTTGTCTCCAGGTGAACCCACACTTCAAGAAGGCAGAGATAGTTTTTAAGGCCCACTATATATATAAAACAGATATATATTTGTGTTTGTGTTTTTCTGTGTGTGTATCACATTCTACCTGTTGCTGCCTATACGAATAATTAGCTACCTAGAGATTAAATGGACAATGAAACTCCAGGTGAAGTGGCTGAGGGCATGAAGGGGAGGCAGCCCCAGAATTTCACCCCTTTGTGCTTCTGACATTGAGGCTCCCCTGATGACTAACCCTCATCCACGGAGCCTGGGTCCTCAGCTGGTGGATCCGTGAAACTCTCATCTCCGGGGGAGTTGGCTCATGTTCTCCTGTGTCCCAGGCTGCACAGAGAGCACACAGGCCTTAGTGACCTCTGTACTGGGGACCACTTTCCTTGCAGATCCTGAGCTCTCAGGATGCAGGAAAACTCTCTCCCAGATGACTCAGGAGCAATGTTTAAATCCATAGAACACAGGAAAACTGAAATCGTTCAATGAGGAGACTAGAGGGAATCCTGCTAGCGGAGGAAGAGGTTTTTTTTTTTTTTTTTTAGAAATTCTGTAAAAGTCACATCATGAGACATTAAGTAATAAAAAAAAAATTGCAGAGCCCAGGTGAGAGGCTGGGCTCAGGTCTCTTTTTCTCTGTTTTGATTCTCTGGAGCAGCTGATACCCTCAGCCCATCACAAAACAAGTCTGACTCTGAGACTGGTATGTGAGGAGATACTCTCAGTGATGGGGCTGGCACTGAGGGTTGGGTCCTGTGAAGGGGAGGTGGGTGCCCTGGGTGGACAATCTGATCCACCCTGACCTCTGTGACCTCTTTGTCCACCATCCCCAGCCTCACACCTTCAGGATTACGCAGTGGAGAATCTCATCCACATGGGCGTGGCTGGCTTGATCCTGGTGGTCCTCGGGATTCTGTCATTTGAGGCTTGGCACAGCCAGAGAAGCTTCCCAAGATGCAGCCGGGAGGTGAACAGCAGAGAGGATAATGTACTTTATAGAGTCGTGAAGCCTCAGGAACAGATCTGATGATCCCAGGAGGTTCTGGAAGAAAATCTAGGGCCGATGCTATCTGGACTGTCTGCTGGTCATTTCCAGAGGAAGGAATCAATGTCCGAGTGCAGGGACATTTTCTGGGGTGATCCATGGAGAACCATTAAAATGTGATACCTTTCCTCTCCATTAATGTTGACTTTCCTTGGTTGGATCTGCCTCTTTTCCCACACTTAGACATGAGGCTCCATCCCACATGGCAGCGTTGGGTCCACACCTCTGCACACCTGCATGCTCTGGTCCATGGCGTGTCACACAGTCCTCTTCATTTCTCATTGCCACACTTCCTGGTGTACTTTACTGGGTCTTCATGTCTTCAGTTCAGAGTTCCGCACCTGGTTTAGGAACTAATTCAACGGGAGAAGATCAGAGTCCGACCAGGAAAAGATAAATGCACCGTGATGCCCTCACCTCCTGTGTGGACCCTATGAGCTCTTCCCTCCTTATCAGATGCTATCTGTGTAGTTTCTCCTGAAATATCACCACCTGGAATCAACACACTGGCATTTGAAGTCACGACCCAATGGTATGCTAATTCTGAAAAAGACATTTTTTGAAATGCTATGATTAGTGGCATTTACCAATTTCCTTGACGTAAATTCTTTTTTCATGGCCATAATCAAGATGCCAACGAGACATCCCTGAATGCAGGGTTGGGAAGCGTTGGACAGACTTGTCTTCACTCATAAGCACCAGGCATCTGATAGCTCACGTATACATCTTATTACCTTCCATTTTAGAGTGAATAATCATTTCTACTTCAGTATTTTGGCACAGGTAAAAGCAGTCCCATTACTGCGCGTATACCCAAAGGAATATAAATCATTCTATTGCAAAGATACATGCACACATGTGTTCATCGCAGCACTATTCACAATAGCAAAGACATAGAATCAACCCAAATGCCCATCAATGATAGACTGGATAAAGAAAATGTGAGACATATACACCACGGAATACTATGAAGCCATAAAAAGAAACAAGATCATGTCCTTTGCAGGGACATGGATGGAGCTGGAAACCATTATCCTCAGGAAACTAACACAGGAACAGGAAATCAAACGCTGCATGTTCTCACTTACAAGTGGGTGCTGAACAATGAGAATGCGTGAACACAGGGAGGGGAACAACACACACTGGGGCCTGTCGGGGGGGGGGTGGGGTAGGGGTAGGGAGAGCATTAGGAAAAATAGCTAATGTATGCTGGGCTTAATACCTAGGTGATGGGTTGACAGGTGCAGGAAACCACCATGGCGCACATTGACCTATGCAATAAGCCCACACATTCTGCACATGTACCCCGGAACTTAAAATAAAAATAAAAATTAAAATTAAATTATGACACCATGATCCTAGCATATCCAAAAAAGACAAAAATGCCAATATCAAATGTCGGAGAAAATAGGGCTGAATTAAAAATCCAATACAACGCCGGGCGCAGTGGCTCACGCCTGTAATCCCAGCACTTTGGGAGGCCAAGGTGGGTGGATCACTTGAAGTCAGGAGTTTGAGACCAGCCTGGCCAAACGTGGTGAAACCCTGCCTCTACTAAAAATACAAAAATTAGCCGGGTGTGGTGGCACTCGCCTGTAGTCCTAGCTACTAGGGAGGCTGAGGCAGGAGAATCACTTGAACCCGGGAGGCGGAGGTTGCAATGAGCTGAGATCATGCCACTGAACTCCAGCCTGGGTGACAGAGCGAGACTCCGTCTCAAAAAAAAAAACAAAAAAAAAAAACCCTCAAAAGCTCAGGCAGCAAAAGCAAAAATAGGCAAATGAGATCATAGCAAACTGCAAACCTTCTGCACAATCAAGGAAACAAACAGCAGAGTGAAGAGACCACCTACAGAATGGGAAAGAATATTTGCAAGCAAGAGATTAATCTCCAGAAAATACAAGGAGCTCAAACAATGCAGAGGTTTTGAAGGATGGTGATGAGAAGGTTCTGCTACTTACAGAAAGGAAGTTTAGGAGAAACAAAACCACAAACCTAGGTGGTGGGATGGCTTGATCTGCTTCTGTCTGTGACTCACTTAACAGTCTTAAACACATCTCCCTAAGCCTCCTTCCCCCGGTGGGATTCCTGGGTCTTGTGAGGACCTCATCGGTCCCTCTGGTAAACCCAGGCACAGAGTGGAGCAGCTCTTGTTTTCTCAGGATCTTCCCCTTCACATACAATTAACGCACCCACACGATGCTACTCTTAGAACCCTTCAAATAAATGTTTCCCGGTTCATTCACTACCAGAATCCAAGCTCAGCTTGTTCCCCAGCTTAGGACTGAGTGGTATCTTGGAGGTAGTTTCCACCATAGCCCCCTTCCTCTGCTATAAGGCTCAGTGACACACCAGAGACACCCCCTCCAGCCAGGCTCCTGGAAGGTCTGGATGAAGACTGGGATGCTGAGGCATTGCTCAGCAATGTGGCTTAACTCAAACTTCTATGTGAAACTTCCAACCACTTTCAGCAAGGGGTCACTTCCAGCGTCTTGGGGTGTGAGGGCACTTTGGTTGGTCCCTGCAATATCAGACCCTATAAAGATCCTACAAACATGTTGCAGACTCTTTGAAGATTCTGGCACTTTCAGACATGCTGTTGGGAAATGGTGACACCCATAACCTTCTAGTTCCAGGACAGGGAGCCTTAGCCCAGGGCTATGTTTTCTGAGGGTCCTCAAAGTAAACAGTTCTATGTGCCAGGAGAACCCTAAATCTCATATGGTTCTAAGGGCAGAAAGCCACACACGCACCGGCAAAAAGCAAGAGATTCAAGGAAAAGCTGAGCAAAGACAGACAGGAAAACACACACATGATGAGCCAGCTTGTAGAGCTAGAACTGAGATGGAGAGAGGCACGAGTGGGTAACAGAGTGTGCTCCCCAGAACAGGTGGAGAGAATGCCTTTTTCATGCCCTGAGGATAGGCTGGGTAAGGCTTGTGCTCGACAGTCAAGGACTATTTTTTTCCCCAGGCGTCTACAAGAGACCTTCCTTCTCAGCTCAACTGTGCCCTGCAGTAAGTAATGATGGAGAGAATGTGACTTTGCTCTGCAGCTCTGGAAGCTCATTTGACCTGTGCCTTCTAACGAGGAAGGTAAGGCCCCTGGACACTGGCTCACTGGGGTGCAGAGACAGAGTGGGGCATTCAGGCCAACTTCTCTCTGGGTCTTGGGGCTGGTGATGGGACCTCTAGATGCTGCAGCTCTCTGTCGATGGCTCTGCCTGTGAGTGATCAGCCCTAGATGACCACTGTTACTGGGGGTAGCCCATGCCTGCTGCATGCCCTGTGAAACACTAAATCATATAGCCACGTCTGAGGGACAGCCTGCTGGAGACATGGGAATCTTAGGGATTCCAGACAAAATGAAGCAATGAGAAACACAAAGAGGAAAAGAGAGGTTGAGTATGACAGTGGTGTCAGGGTGTAGGGTGGTAGACAGGGCAGCTCCACACTCTCCACTGCTTCCTGTCTGGAGGCCCACTTTGGGGTCCTACTTATCCAGGTGAGTGAAGGAAGAGGTCAGGACAAACACAGGAGGTGAAGCCAGATACAGTGTGGGGAGATAAGCAGTGGCCTCAGCCTCTAGCCCTTTTCCATCTTCCAGAAGCCCCTCCTGAGCTCTCATCACAGACAGATTTCCCATTTGGAAACCCAGATATTTATCATGCCGGGGGGGGGAGGCAATGTCTCTTGATTATGGGGACTTTCCATCACCAGGCACCTGCTAGTCCTCTCTATACCTTCCCTTCAGGAAAGGAATTGTCCCTCATGGGATTCCAGGGAAGAGACCCCAGGACCCCTATCAGTCACTAGGGAGATGACAGAGTAGAGGAAGTCAGGGGACCAACCCTCCACAGAGAATGGTCCTACTTCAGTGGGGTGAGGGAAACTCTCACTCATCCATTTGCTGTCCTGTTACCTCGGAACCCTAAGAGAACTTGTTAGTCACACACAGAATCTACCCCTGAATGTGGTGTGCAAAGTGGGGCTCTTAGCCTCCAGTGTGAAGTCCCTGGGAAGATGGAATGTCCCTGTGTGAGTGAAGGCTGTGCCACCGCCCAGCTATGTGGCCTTGGGCTAGGCAACCCCTCCCAGGTCCCCAGTTCCCCATCTGCATCGGAGACTGTGGCCAGTGCGGGAATCCACAAGGCCCTTCAGCCTCCAAAGCTCTGGGACAGAGGCCTCGTCCACAGGGAGGAAGGGGTCAGAGTGACCTGAGTCCCTACTCAGGAGCGAGTCTAATCCACTCTCCATCGGGGCCTGTGGGGAAGGGAAGATGAAGAAACGGAGCCTGCACCTGGCTATGTGGGCGCAGTAGATTAAGGGGAGGATGAGGGTTCCTGAGAGTGTGTCATGTGGCAGAGACCCTGCAGCACACTCAGGAAGGGCTCTGGAAGGATCCAAGGAAATTTTCCAAGAAGAGGGCAGAGTAAGTGACAGAGACCCTCAACCATGGATTTCACTGAGGTGCCCATGATGACATAGGGAGAACGGGGGTGTCTGGGCAGGAAGAATATCGTCAGGGTGAAATGAATGGTGATGAGCTTCGTGTCAGAGCTCCTGTGGAGGGAGGGGCCTGGCCCACATGAAAAGGTCTCTGATCCTACCCCAGCCCCCAGCCCCTGTTCTCCAGGATGACACTGTGGGAATTCCATCAGGAGGGGTGTGATAGGGCTGGTCTTCCTGGCTCGATTCACAACACTGGCTGGGGACTGGGAACCCATGGGGAGCCACAGGTGGAAAGGGAGGAGCCTCAGTGAACCCAGCAGGAACAAACATAGGGTCTGACATGATGGAACTCACTTCCTGGAGGCCAAGAAAGACACTTGCGGGACAAAAGGGAAAGAGCGGTGGCTTGCTTAGTTCCATTCACTGACAACCCACAGGAGATGTCCAGTCCTTTTTTGATTTATTATTTTATTTTATTATATTTTATTTTATTTTATTTTATTTTCACATGGAGTTTTGCTCCTATTGGCCAGGCTGGAGTGCAATGGCACGATCTTGACTCACTGCAACCTCCACCTCTCAGGTTCAAGCGATTCTCCTGCCTCAGCCTCCTGCATAGCTGGGATTACAGGCGACTGCCACCACAGCCAGGTAATGTTTGTATTTTTAGTAGAGATGAGGTTTTGCCATCTTGGCCAGGCTGGTCTCAAACTCCTGATCTCATGTGATCCGCCTGTATCAGACTGCCAAAGTGTTGGGATTACAGGCGTGAGCCACCACACCCAGCCTTTTGTATTTTTAGTAGAGATGGGGTTTCACCATGTTGGTCAGGCTGGTCTTAAACTCCTGACCTCAGGTGATCCATCCACCTCGGCCACCCAAAGTGCTGGGAGTACAGATGTTAGCCACCGTACCCAGCGAGAGTTTCAGTGCTCTATCGGATTCCCTGCCTACTCCATGTTGCATGTAATGTTCCACCTCAGGGATGTTTCTCTCCTTTCTGTCTCCTTCCTCTTCTCCTTCTCCTTTTTTCTTTCTAATTTTTATTTTTTTGAGACAGAGCCTTGCTCTGTTACCCAGGCTAGAGTACAGTGGCACGATCCCAGCTCACTGCAACCTCTGCCTCCTGGGTTCAAGAGATTCTCCTGACTCAGCCTCTCAAGTAGCTGGGATTACAGGCACCCGCCATCACACCCAGCTAGTTTTTGTATTTTTAGTAGAGACGAGGTTTCACCATGTTGGCCAGACTGGTCTTGAACTCCTGCCCTCAGGTAATCCACCCGCCTGTGGCCCCCCAAAGTGCTGGGATTACAGGCGTGAGTCACCACTCCCAGCCCTGAATGATCTTTCCTCTTTAGTGTGTTCTCACAACCACCTCTCACTGAGCTTTCTTGTTTTTTGTTTTTGTTTTTGTTTTTGTTTTTGTTTTTGGCAGAGTCTGGCTTTGTTGCCTATGCTGGAGTGCAGTGGTGCAATCTCAGCTCACTGCAACCTCCGTCTCCTGGGTTCAAGCGATTCTCCCACCTCAGCCTCCTGAGTAGCTGGGATTACAGGCACCCACCACCACACCCAGCTAATTTTTGCATTTTTAGTAGACACAGGGTTTCACCATGTTGGTCAGGCTGGTCTCGAACTCCTGACCTTGTGATCTGCCAGCCTCAGCCTCCCAAAGTGCTGGAATTACAGGCATGAGCCACCACTCCCAGCCCTGGATTATCTTTCCTCTTTAGTGTGTTCTCACAACTACCTCTCACTGCTGGGTTTTCTCTCTTTCTTTTTTTTTTTTTTTTTTTTTTTTTTTGAGACAGTCCGGCTTTGTTGCCCAGGCTGGAGTGCAGTGGCGCGATCTCGGCTCACTGCAAGCTCCACCTCCCAGGTTCAAGCGATTCTCCCACCTCAGCCTCCCTAGTAGCTGGGATTACAGGCGCATGCCAGCACACCCAGCTAGTTTTTGTATTTTTAGTAGAGACAGGGGTTTCACCATGTTGGTCAGGCTGGTCTTGAACTCCTGACCTTGTGATCTTCCTGCCTCGGCCTCCCAAAGTGCTGGGATTACAGGTGTAAGCCACTGCACCCAGCCAGCTTTCTCATTCTTATCCCTTAGTTCTCTGCCAGGGAATAAGATAGAAACCATTCCCTCAACCACATTCTAGTCATGGTCCCTATTCTCATGTTTCCACTTCTCTCTCTTTGGTAATAAATCAATTAATTGAGAAACAAGTAGCTAAATGTTCATCTTCTGCTAGTCTGCATCCCCTTATTTTCCCAGAGCCTCCCCTAATGAAACTGACTTTATTTACTGAACGCAGGAAATGGGTCTCTCCAGATCAGGATGACTTTCTGCTGGGAAATATTTGTCTTTGCATCAGTGGGGAAAAAGAAAGCCGATGTCATGAGTGGAGGCTCTGAGAAAATAAGGGCTGTGTTTTCAGTTTAGACCCAGCTAAGTTGGGAGCTGACATAGATATGATGTTGGGTCCACCCTCCACGGGCAGGTTTTCAGACAAAGGATCCCTGGCAATCAGGGGACACCTCAGGTCTGGGCTGAGATGTGTGCAGAGGGCCTGGGTCCTCCTGAGCCCCTGCACTGGGGGGGGAATAAGAGACAGGCCCAGCAAGGGGCTGTCCACTTCCTGTGGGTTCACAGCTGTGGGGACCCAGGCAGGCGGCAGCAGGCTCTGACTTAACCACATCCGTGCATCTGTCTGTCATGGAGGGCCATGTGGTCACCTGTCCCACAGCTGGAGCACGCAGAGCAGGCATCATGGTGTCCATCCTCACTGTTCTTCTGTGCCTCAGTCAGTGGTGGAGAGACGAGGGACAGGAGGGGCACTGGGCTGAGGTGGGGAGGGTCCCACAGCAGCCTTGTTCACCAGAGAGCCTCAGGGCTCCAGTGGCTACTGGTGCTCCAACAGGAAGGGAAGCAGCCACACCTCTGTGTTCCAAATCCCCCACAGGAAACTCTTCTCCATGGCTGAGTCTGGGCCAGAAAGCCCAAGCACTTGCAGGTGAGTCTCTGCTAACCTCCCATGCCTGACCTCACACTCAGCACCTGGACTCTCATCTCAGGGGCTTCTGAACTGAGGGTGAGAAAATCAAGAGGGTCTGTGACCTGAGCTGGGAATGAGGAGCGGGGGAGGTCTGTGGACCCCAGCCTGTGGTTTCTTCCAGGGACCCTCCCCAAACCCAGCCTCTGGGCTGAGCCAGGCTCTGTGATTACCTGGGAGAGCCCCATGACCCTCTGGTGCCAGGGGACCCTGGATACCCAGGGTTACTATCTCACCAAGGAAGGAAACCCCATGACCTGGTACCAACAGAGCCCACCAGAGCCCAGGAACAAGACCAACTTCTTCATCCCATCCATGAGAGAGCACCATGCAGGGAGATACCACTGTCACTATCTCAGCCCTGCAGGCTGGTCAGAGCGCAGCGAGCCCCTGGAGCTGGTGGTGACAGGTAAGAGGACACTCAGGGGTCCCAGCCCCAGGCTCTGCCTGCAGGAAGGGGGTCAGCTCTCAAGGGCATCTCCGTTCTAATAACTCAGCCCTGGGGGATGATGTGGGACGCGTGAGCCCCATTTAAGACAGTGTCTCCTTCTCTCCTAGGAGCCCACAGAAAACCCACTCTCTCAGCCCTGCCGAGCCCTGTGGTGACCTCAGGAGAGAACGTGACCATCCAGTGTAGCTCAAGGGTGGGATTTCACAGGTTCATTTTGATTGAGGAAGGAGAAAACAAGCTCTCCTGGATGCTGGACTCACAGGAACTCTCCAAGGGGCTGTCCCTTGTCCCTGGCCCTGTTCCCTGTGGGCCGTGTGGCTGCCAGTCACCGGTGGATGTTCAGATGCTATGGGCATTACACGAACTTCCCCTGGGTGTGGTCGGAACCCAGTGATACCATGGAGATCCTGGTCTTAGGTATGGATGTCTTCCTCCTTGCCCTATTTATTTTTGAGAACTTACTCTCACGGAGCCCCATGTAGGAGGGTGGAACAAGGGAAGTTTGGGACTCCTGAGCCCAGAGACACTGAGTGTGAGAGACAGTGAGACCTGCAGGGCCAGGAGGGGAGAAGGAAGGGGTGTGGGAGGAACCAGCCCTCCTAGTCCCGACTCTTCTTTCCCTCCAGGCGTGTCTAGGAAGCCCTCCCTCCTGACCCTGCAGGGCCCTGTCGTGGCCCCTGGGGAGAATCTGACCCTCCAGTGTGGCTCTGATGTCGGCTATGACAAATTCACTCTGTACAAGGAGGGGGGACATGACCTCGTCCAGGGCTCTGGCCGGCAGCCCCAGGCTGGGCTCTCCCAGGCCAACTTCACCCTGGGCCCTGTGAGGGTCTCCCACGGGGGCCAGTACAGATGCTACGGTGCACACAACCTCTCCTCCGAGTGGTCGGCCCCCAGTGACCCCCTGAGCATCCTGATCGCAGGTGAGGAGCCCAGCAGGTTCAGTCAGGGACCCAGGCTCCGCACAGGCCCTGCTGGGGGAGCCCAGGTGGTGATGGCCGGGATGAGGGGTGGGGGTCCTAAGGGACGGAGAGACAGACAGAGACAGGGGATGGGCGGGGAGGGGGAGACTCAGAGAAAACAGAGACAGAGACACTGAGGGTCCCAGGGAGAGGCCTGGGGAGGTGTCAGCTCAGAACGAGGTGGGGCAGCCCCTCACCCATCCTTCTTCTCTCCAGGACAGATCCGTGGCAGACCCTCCCTCTCGGTGCAGCCGGGCCCCACGGTGGCCTCAGGAGAGAACGTGACCCTGCTGTGTCAGTCACGGGAGCAGTTGGACACTTTCCTTCTGACCAAGGAGGGGGCAGCCCATCACCCACTGCGTCTGAGATCAGAGCACCAAGCTCAGCAGCACCAGGCTGAATTCCCCATGAGTCCTGTGACCTCAGCCCACGCGGGGACCTACAGGTGCTACAGCTCACGCAGATTCTTCCCCTACCTGCTGTCTCACCCCAGTGACCCCCTGGAGCTCGTGGTCTCAGGTGAGGCCGCTGACCCTGTCCTCTCTGAGCTCAAACCTCAGCTCAGGCCCTGCCCCCAGGAGAGCTCAGGACGCTAAGGAAAGAGGGGAGTAAAGGGGGAGGGTCGGCAGGGGAGGGCCCAGCCCATGAGAGGGTGGAAATAGTCAGGGACCTCCTAATCCTGGGCTCCCACCCCAGAGACCTCAGATGGGGCTAAAGGCCAGGGAGGGCTGAAATGAGATATGGAGAAACCTTGGAGGAATCATGCTTAGGCTGAGGGTAGAAGATGGAGGCCCCACCCACTCCCCACCTGGGCTCCCCTGGCGGCCCCAAAATACTCAGTGCATACCTGAGACGAAGGGGAGATCATGCACCTGCTCACTGCAGCAATGCAGGCAAATTATTCAACAGCAAACCTCGTGTGCAATTCCTTTCTGTCCTTTATTTTTTATGTCCACATATCTAGTTTCTCTTTCTGTTTCTGAAGATTTCAAAGCAATGCTGGCATTTATAATTTACACATTTAATTTGTTAGGTAGCGTTATGATGTAAAATAACTGTGCTCTGATTTTCTTTGGGATTAAATTAAATATGTGCATTCATGATGGAGAATAACTTCTCATTAATAATGTCTTTGTATCCAATACATTTAAAATTAAACTTTATACAGTTAGCAGAT
Source organism: Homo sapiens (assembly GCF_000001405.40). Taxonomy (NCBI): domain Eukaryota; kingdom Metazoa; phylum Chordata; class Mammalia; order Primates; family Hominidae; genus Homo; species Homo sapiens. The sequence goes on from NW_016107311.1 coordinate 12,692, forward strand.
GCTTGAAGTTGTATTCATAAAAATTGTGGACATTGTGAATTTTAAGCATTGTTTTACTACTTGAATAATTTGAAAGTCTTTGATTCCTTTCTATTTTCTAAAATTAGTTACGTATGGATGAGAAAGCTATTGGTTTGGGTATGCTAATTTTAGTTCCTATTAACTTACCACAGACACACTCCCTTTCAATCCTTTCCGAAATGATCTCTTCTGATTTATTGATAATAATTACATTAACCACAAGAAAATGGAGGACAAACTTGTTTGTTTCTAAATTATATAATACTCTTCTCACTTCAAATATATATGTATGTGTTTATATATACTCACACACTATTATATATCTTATAATATATATTATGTATTATATATTTATATATACACTATTATATATCTTATATATTATGTATTATATATTTATATATACCCACACATTATTATATCTTATAATATATATTATGTATTATATATTTATATATACCCACACATTATTATATCTTATAATATATATTATGTATTATATATTTATATATGCACTATTATATATCTTATATATTATGTATTATATATTTATATTACCCACACATTATTATATCTTATAATATATATTATGTATTATATATTTATATATACACACACTATTATATATCTTATTATATATTATGTATTATATATTTATATATACTATTATATATCTTATAATATATAATGTATTATATATTTATATATACACACACTATTATATATCTTATATATTATGTATTATATATTTATATATACATACTATTATATATCTTATAATATATTATGTATTATATATTTATATATATACACTATTATATATCTTATTATATATTATATATTTATATATGCACACACTATTACATATCTTATTATATATTTATATGTATACACACACTATTATATATCTTATTATATATTATGTACTATATATTTATATATACTATTATATATCTTATAATATATAATGTATTATATATTTATATATACACACACTATTATATATCTTATATATTATGTATTATATATTTATATATACATACTATTATATATCTTATAATATATTATGTATTATATATTTATATATATACACTATTATATATCTTATTATATATTATATATTTATATATGCACACACTATTACATATCTTATTATATATTTATATGTATACACACACTATTATATATCTTATTATATATTATGTACTATATATTTATATATACTATTATATATCTTATAATATATAATGTATTATATATTTATATATACACACACTATTATATATCTTATATATTATGTATTATATATTTATATATACATACTATTATATATCTTATAATATATTATGTATTATATATTTATATATACACACTATTATATATCTTATTATATATTATATATTTATATATGCACACACTATTACATATCTTATTATATATTTATATGTATACACACACTATTATATATCTTATATATTATATATTTATATATACTCACACTATATCTTATAATACATATTATGCATACACATATGCATAATACATATTATCTATACACATATGCATAATACATATTATGTATACACATATGCATAACACATATTATGTATACACACATATTTACACCTATGCATATATGTATGTATGTATGCGAATGTACCTCTGCCACGGCAGGGAAAGGTTCTATCACACAACTACAGAGCAGTTAGGAGAAGTGTAGACACAAAGGAATGCAGCAACTGAGGGACATGTTGGCTTAAGTCTCTTCAACTCCTCACACACCTCCCCCTTTTTTGGTTGATTCTCAGGAGCAGCTGAGACCCTCAGCCCATCGCAAAACAAGACAGACTCCAAGACTGGTGTGTAAGGAGATGCTCTCGGTTATGGGGCTGGCACAGAGGGTCAGGTCCTGTGAAGGGGAGGTGGGTGCCCTGGGTGGACATCCAGGGGTCCCGGGTGATGTTGATCTGCCCTGACCTCTGAGACCTCTTGGTCCACCATCCCCAGCCTCACACCCCCAGGATTACACAGTGGAGAATCTCATCCGCGTGGCTGTGGCTGGCTTGGTCCTGGTGGTCCTCGGGATTCTGCTGCTTTAGGACTGGCACAGCTAGAGAAGTCCCCAAGATGCAGCAAGGAGGTAAATACATGAGAGAACAATGCACCCTTCAGAGTGCCAGAGCCTTGGCAATGAATCTGATAGTCCTAGGAGGTTCTGGAAGAAAGTCTGGACCATCATTCGGGAAACCGTCTACTGAGAAAGTCGAGAAGGGGAGGCTTGGGTCAGGTTCAGGAAGATGTCTGGGTGCCTGTAGAGAACGCTTCCTCCATTAAACTTCCATTAAATGGCAGTGCTTTCAGTCCTGCTGTTGTGGATCCTCCGTGTCTGCCCCTCCCTTCCTTTCGCTCTCTGTGATGTGAAGGCACGTCCCCCATGGTGGGTTTGCATCCACACCCCTGCGATCACGTGCTCTGGTCCACTGTCATGTAATACATTTGTCTTTGTTTCCAACTACCGCATTCTCTAAAGTGAACTATTGATTCTCCATCTTTTCAGTTCTGAGCATAGATCTGGATTAAATAACTGGAATAGGTGGGCAGATTTGTATTTGGGACTTTGAAACATGAGTCTGAGGCCAGGCACAGTGGCTCACACCTGTAATCCCAGCACTTTGGGAGGCTGAGGTGGGCGGATCACTTGAGGTCAGAAGTTCGAGACCAACCTGGCCAACATGGTGAAACCCTGTCTCTACTAAAAGATACAAAAATTAGCTGGGTGTGGCAGTGAGCACCTGTAATCCCAGCTGCTCAGGAAGCTGAGGCGGGAGAATAGCTTGAACCCGGGAGGCGGAGGTTGCAGTGAGCCAAGATCTTGCCACTGCACTCCAGCCTGGGCAACAGAGCAAGACTCCATCTCCAAAAAAAAAAAAAAAAAGGGAAATATGAGTCTGAAATGATGCCCTAGCACCCTCTCTGGACCCTGAATTCCCTTCACTCTTCATCGGATGATACCTGTGTACTTTGTCCAGAAATATCATCTCTCAGAATGAGCACACTAACGCTCGAAGGCTCAGCCTCATGGTATTCTGTTAAACTGGCTCTCTGAAAAAATTATTTTCTTAAGAAAACTCTGAACATATAAAGCCCCAGATTTATGGTATTTGCTGATTAGTGTGGTATAAATACGTCCTTTATGGCCAACTTCAGGGTGCCCATATGACGCCATTGAATGCACAGTTGGGAAGTAGTCAAAAGAATTGTCGTTCACACGAGTATGAACCAGTTGTAAAGTTTATTTAAAGGTTATAATAATTTCTGCTTCATTCTTATGGTGTAGTTTCAGTAAAATTGTAATGTCAAAAATCATAGCACAATGGAGGGAAAAGAAAAAAATAGGCCGGGTGTGGTGGCTCATGCCTGTAATCCCAACACTTTGGGAGGCCGAGGCAGGAGGATCACCTGAGGTCAGGAGTTCGAGACCAGCCTGGCCAACATGGTGAAACGCTGTCTCTACTAAAAATACAAAAATTAGCCAGACATGGTGGCGCCTGCCTGTAATCCCAGCTACTTGGGAGGCCAAGGCACGAGAATCGCATGAACCCAGGAGGCGGAGGTTGCAGTGAGCCGAGATCACTACAGCCTGGGTGATAGAGCAAGACTCAGTCTCAAGAAAAGAAAAAAGTAGCAAAATCATTTTTTGGAAAGAATATTGAACATGTAGAATTTTAGTACATTAATAGTAAGAGTACAAATTGCTTTAATCAATTAAGGAAGTGTATTGGAATTATCTAGTTAAAAAGAGGAGGCACATGGCTGTGACCCTTCTTAATTATGTACTTAATTATGTACCCTAGAGATAAATGTCTACTTATGTGTCATGATACACTCACAACTGTTATAGGAATGCTGTTCCTATTAGCCAAAGCTATAAAATACCAAAGTCCACCTACGAAAAAAATAAACATAGTGTGGTAAATAGACTCAGTGGAATATTACAAGGTAGTAAAATGCATAAATGAAAATAACAAACAGCACCATACTTCAATTTTCAAGCATAAAGTCAAGTAAATGAAGTATTATTTGAAAATGTGTGCATGGTTATTTCATTACATAAAGGTCAAAAGGAGGGTACATTTATTATTTAGGAAAACACACCTAAGATATCTTTGTAAAATCTGTAAAATCAATAGTACTGTTTCCCCTCTTTCATTCCTTATCTTGAAAATGCTTGTCTCTTTTTCTGCCATGGCTTTCTACCTTGCTTGATATATTACAATTTTGTAACCTGCTTATTTCATCATATGTCATAAGTTCACATGTATATCCCATGAATTATTGAGGGTCTTATTCATTTCAAGTGGCATTTAGGTTTTTAAAAATATCTTTTGGCGACCAGGTGCAGTGGCTCATGCCTGTAATCCCAGCACTTTGGGAAGCCAAGGCAGGTGGATCACGAGTTCAAGAGACAGAGATCATCCTGGCGAACATGGTGAAACCCCGTCTCTACTAAAAATACAAAAAAAAAAAAAAAAATAGCTGGGCATGGTAGAGGGTGCCTGTAGTCCCAGCTTCTCAGGAGGCTGAGGCGGGAGAATGGCATGAACCCGAGAGACGGAGGTTGCAGTGAGCCGAGATCGTGCCACTGCACTCCAGCCTGGCAACAGAGTGAGACTCTGTCTCAAAAAAAAAAAAAAAAGAAAGAAAGAAAGGAAGAAAAAAAAATCTTCTGGCATTAACTATTAAGAAATTGCACTATAAAAAGAGAATATAATGCATAAGACGGCAATTTGAAAAGATTCAGATATAATTTTTTCTTATCTAGTAAATACTTAGTAATTTGTCTAATGCATGCCTTAAATACATACCACTTTATGCAGAGGTTGCCATGAGCCGAGATCGCGCCGTTGCACTCTAGCCTGGGTGGCAGAGCAAGACTCCATCTCAAAAAAAAAAAAGAAAATCTCACAGAAGGAGACCCAGAGCTTCCAGCCTCGCCCAGAGTCTTGGCTCACTCCCTGTGTGTGTGGACCCTAGGGAGCCTCTTCTGTTCCCCACAGAGGTGGAAACTTCCTCCTTAATAACCCCTTGATGGTCCCAGGCACTGGTGACCACTGAGCTTTGCTCTCTCTTTTTTCTTATGGTTCCCTGTCTACTTCCAGGGCTATCACTTTACTTTTTGTGCATTAGACCATGAATAATGTTTTAGAAACATTCTATCAAATTTCTCAGTGCTAGGAACAACTGAGGTTTTTGATTGGGTGCCTCAAATGTCTACCCTTACTGTGGAGTCCGACAACAGGATTCTAACAAGTCCCAACCCCTTCATGCCTTAACCTGGTCTGGAAATAAATTATGTTTAAGCCATCCCATACCCCAGCCACATCAAGCCCCACAACCACTCTGAGAAGTGAGATTTATAGCAAAATGCTCCAAACAAGGTAACTAAGGTTCAGACAAGGGATGTTAATGTGTCCATTTACATAAACAAAAAATGGTAGATGATCAGCTTTCCCTTTGAAATCAGAGTACTAATCTGACTCATTGTTCCCTGAATTTTAGAGGCAGGACCTCAGGAGGAGCTAAGAATCCTACCCCAGGAAAATTACCAATATCAGAAAGGAAACAATGACATCAGTACAGATCCTACAGAATTCAAAAGATTCTAAGTGGACATTATGAAGACATTATTCAGCTTAGATGAAGTGGTCACATATCACAAGAAAACAAACTGTCTAAAACAATCTCTGAAATACCTAGACATTCCCTGAATCATTGAGTTATTAAATAAAATACATTTTAAAATTAAACTCTTTTCAGGAAATAAACTTCAATGTCCCCTAGTGCACTCTCCAAAACATGTAGATGGGAATAAATACTGTTCTGAAAGACATTTCCCTGGAATTACAACCATTCAATATATTTTAAAAGGCAATCATAAAAATATAAAAAGGATATATCAGGAGAAGAAATGTAAATGGCCTAAATTCCCCACATAAAAGGCATAGAGTGGCAACGTGGATAAAAAGCCAAGAGCCAACTGCCTGCTGTCTTCAAGAGACCCATCTCACATGTAATGACACCCACAGGCTCAAAGTAAAAGGATGAAGAAATATTTACTAGGCAACCAGGAAACAAAAAAAAGGAAGGCATTCCTATTCTTATATCACATGAAACACACTTTAAATCAACAGCAATCAGGAAGGACAAAGAAGGGCATTACAAAATGATAAAGGGTTCAATTTGACAGAAGACTTAACTATTCTAAATATATATGCACCCAAATTTGGAGCACCCCGATTCATAAAACAAGTTATTCTTCACCTATGAAAAGAGTTAGACAGCCACACAATAATAGTAAGGGACTTCAGTATCCCACTAACAACGTCAGATGAATCACTAAAACAGAAAACTAACAAAGAAATTCTGGTCTTAAAGACAACACTTGACCAATTGGACCTCATAGACATCTACAGAGTACTCCACCCAACAACTGCAGAATATAGATTCTTCTTATCTGCACACACAAAAAACATATCATATTCTAAGACTGGCCACAAAGCAAGTCTCAATAAATTCAAAGAATCAAAATCATAACAAGGCACACAATAAAAATAGAAAAAAATACCAAGATGATCTCTCAAAACTACAGAAAAACATGGAAATTTAACAACTTGTTTCTGAATGAATATTAAGAGCCATCTATGACAAATCCACAGCCAACATCATATTGAATGGTCAAAAGCTGGAACTGTACCCCTTGAGAACTCTTGGGTGAACAATGAAATTAAAGCAGAAATCACAAAACATTATTTAAAATTAATAAAAATAGAAACAAACTTACCAAAACCTTTGGGATGCAGTTAAAGCAGTGATAAGAGGAAAATTTATAGCAATACATGCCTCATCAGAAGTTTAGAAAGATCTCAAATTAGTGACTTAACACTGCATCTAGAGGAACTATTAAAAAAAAGGAACAGTCCAAACCCAAGGCCAGCAAAAGATGAGAAATAACTAAAGTCAGAGAGAACTGAATAAATTGAGACCAAAAAGTCCATACAAGAGATAAATAAAACCAAGAGTTTTTCTTTGAAAAAAAATAAACAAAATTCATAGACTGTTAGCTAGATTAACAAAGAAAAAGAGAAAAGATCCAAATAAACACAAATAGAACTGACAAAACAATGTTACGAACAATCCCACAGAAATAGAAAAGATCGTCAAAGACTATTATGAACACCTCTATACAAACAAGCTAGAAAACCTAGAAGAAATGGATAAATTCCTGGTAACACAAAATTTATCATATTTCAACCAGGAAGAAAGTGAAAACCTGAACAGACCAATAACAAGTTCAGAAATTTAATCAGTAATAAAAACCCTACTAACTAAAAATAGCCCAGGACCAGACGGATTCACAGCCAAAATCCAACAGCCATACAAAGAAGAACTGATACCGATCTTACTGAAACTTTTGGAAAAAATCAAGGAGTGGGGGCTTCTTCCTAACTCATTCTATGAAGCCATCATCACCATGATACCAACATCTGTCAGAGACATAATGAAAAAAAGAAAACTACAACTAAATATCCTTAATGAACATAGACATAAAATCCTCAACAAAATGCTAGCAAATTGAATCTGTCAGTGCATCAAAAGTTAATTCACATGATCAAGTAAGCTTTATTTTTGGGATGCAAGGTTGGTTCAACCTACAAAGTCAACGAATGTGATTCACCTCATAAACATAATTAAAAACAAAAACTATATGATCATCTCAATAGATGCAAAAAAAGCTTTCTGTAAAATCCAACATCCCTTCATGATAAAAACTGTCAATAGGCATCAAAGGAACATACCTCAAAATATTAAGAGCCATCTATGACAAACCCACAGCCAACATCATATTGATGGGCAAAAGCTGGAACCATACCCCTTGAGAACCGAAACAAGACCAGGATGACCACTCCCGCCATTTTAATTCAACATGGTACTGGAAGTCCTAGCCAAAGCAATCAGGCAAGAGAAGGAAATAAAAGGCATTAAAATTGGAAAAGAAGTAGTGATACTGTCTCTCTTTGCTGATGAAATAATTTTATACATAGAAAACCCTAAAGACTCTGTCAGAAGGCTCCTGAAACTGATAAACAAATTCAATAAAGTTTCGGGATTAAAAAAATGTACACAAATTAGTAACATTTCTATGCACCACTAACATTCTAGCTGAGAACTAAATCAAGAACACAATTCCATTTACACTAGCCACAAAGAAAATAAAATACCTAGGAATCCATCTAACCAAGAAGGTGAAAATTCTCTACAAGGAGAACTACAAAACACTTCTGAAAGAAATAAGAAATGATACAAACAAATGGAAGAATATTCCATGCTCATGAATTAGGAGAACAAATAGTTAAAATCGCCATACTTCCAAAAACAAATTGCAGAGTCAATGCTATCCATTTCAAAATGCAATGTCATTTTTCACGAAATTATAAAAATTTATTCTAAAATGTATTTGGCACCAAAAAAAGAGCCTGAATACACATAGGAATCCTAAGCACAAAGAACAAAGCCCAGGCATCACATTACCCAACTTCAAACTATACTACAATGCTATAGTAACCCAAACAGCATGATACTACTACAAAAACAGACACATAGACCAATGAGACAGAATAGAGAACCCAGAAATGAGGCTACATACCTACAATCATCTTTGAAAAAATTGACAAAAACAAGCAATGTGGAAAGTACCCTTTCTTCAATAAATAGTTCTGGGATAACTGACTACTCATATGCAAAATAATAGAACTGGACCCCTAACTCTCACTATATACAAAAATTAACCCAAGATAGTTTAAAGATTTAAATGTAAAACCTCAAAATATTAAAATTCTAGAAGAAAACCTAGGAAATATCCTTCTCAAGATAGACTTTGGCAAAGAATTTATGGCTAACTCCCCAAAACCAATTGTGACAAAGACAGAAATTGGGACCTAACTCAACTGAAGAGCTTCTGCACAGCAAACGAAAGTATCAACAGAGTAAACAGATAACCTACAGACTGGGAGAAAATATTTGCAAACTATGCATCTGACAAAGTTCTAATATCCAGAATCTATAAGGAATGTAAACAAATCAACAAGCAGAAAACCAAAAAACCTCAATTAAGTATGACATGAACAGACACTTCTCAAAAGAAGATGTACACATGGCCAAAAAACATATGAACAAATGCTTATTATCAGTAATCATCAGAGAAATGCAAATTAAAACCACAGTGAGATACCATCTCACAACAATCAGAGAAGCAGAAGCAATTACTAAAAAGTTTTTTGTTTTTTTTAATAACAGATGCTGACAAGATTGTGGAGAAAAGGGAACACTTATACACTCTTGGTGGGAATGTTAACTAGTTCAGCCAATGTGATAAGCAGTTTGGAGACTTCTCAAATAACTTAAAATAGAACTACTATTCAATCAAGCAATCCCACTACTGGGTATATACCAAAAGGAAGGTAATTAACTATGTCAAAAAGACACATGCACTAGTATATTCATTGCTGTGCAATTCAGAATAGCAAAGATTTGCAGTCAACCTAAGTGCTCACCAACAGTGGATTAGTTAAAGAAAATGTGCTACATATACACATGGAACATTACATGGCCATAAAAAATAATGAAATCATGTCCTTTGCAGCAACATGAATGTAGCAGGAGGTCAATCTCCTAAGTGAACTAACCCAGGAACAGAAAACCAAATACCACATGTTATCACTTATAACTGAGAACCAAACATTGAATACACATGAACATAAAGATGGAAACAACAGATACCGAGGACTACAGATGGGGGGAGGAGTAGGGAGGTATAGGCTGAAGAAACACCTGTTGGATTCTATGCTCATTGCCTGGGTGATGGCATTGTTGGAACCACAAACCTCAGAGTCACACAATATGCCTATGTAACAAACCTGCATGCATACCTTTAATCTACAGTAAAGGTTGAAGTTATTTAAAAATAGGAAGAAGAATTACCCTATACCTAAAGCTAAGATTTTTCCCTTTGAATATTCGTTTCTTCATCACTGTAGATAAGCAGGGAAAGAAAAATTATTATACTATACTAGCCTTTTATGTGACCATGAGGATTTGGGGTAGGTAGGTGGACAGCTTAGATAATTCACCAGGATATTGATACAGGCTCCATGGCTGGAAATAACCAAGGATGAGTGCTGTGTTTTGAGTGGTCTCCCCCAGAAACGTTTGTTGAAATCCTAACCCCTGGTATGTATGAATGTGAATTCATATTATATAAAAAGGAATAAATAGCCTGAGCACAGTGGCTCACACCTGTAATCCCAGCACTTTGGGAGGCCAAAGCAGGTGGATCATTTGAGGTCAGGAGTTCTGGCCAATATGGCAAAACTTCATCTCTACAAAAAAAAAATACAAAAAAAAAAATTGGCTGGGTATGGTGGCGCATGCCTGTAGTCCCAGCTACTCAGGAGGCTGAGGCAGGAATTGCTGAAACCTGGAAGGCAGAGGTTGCAGTGAGCCAAGATCATGCCACTGCACTCCAGCCTGGGTGAGACGGCAAGATATTCTGTCAAAAATAAATAAATAAAAAACAGAAGAAGAAATACAAGAATGACAGCAAACTTTGTATTCAAAACTATGAAAGTAAGAAACAGGTGGACCAACATTTTTAAAGTGCTACAAGAAAATATTTCAAACTAGAATCTTTCAACCTGAAAAGGAAAACATTTTCCTGCAATAAAGGTGCCATTAAAAATGTCTCACAATTTATTACATGAAGCATTGTTCTACAATAAATGTTAAGCTCTTGAAGCAAAGATTAATGATACCATTTAGTAACTTGAAATTCAAAAAAGTGGAAGTATCCCAAGAGGCAAATACGTGTGCAATTATTAAATGTTTCATATCAACACCCAACCTTATGCTGTCTACATAAGCTGCACTTCAAATACTAATCCACAAGATGTAAATATTGAAAGAATGACATTACCTTGTCATGATAATGCCCAGTGCAAAATATGCTTCTAGTCAGTTGTATACATAGAATAGGTAAATGTTTGTAATAAAAAGTATTCCTCAATAGAAGTTTCTTAACTCAAAGAATGAAATATTTCACCATGCACATACAAAGAAGAGATATATGGAGATATGAAGAGGAGTACTTCATAATGACAAAGAGGCAAATTCATAAATAAGACATAATCATCCTAAATGCCTACACACCTAAAGCTGGAACCTCAAAACACATTAAATTAAAGGCATAATTCAAAACATAATCAATCACATCCAAATTGCAGCTAGAGATAGCAACATTCACCTCACTTCCAGAACAAGTACACAGAAAATTATTAAGCATATGAAAGACTTGAAAAACATTTGTGTAGGCGGCGGGTGCATAAGGTTGGGTGTTGATATGAAACATTTAATAATTTCAATAATCCTAGCACTTTGGGAGGCCAAAATGGGAGGATCACTTGAGGCCAGGAGTTTGAGACCAGCCTGGGCACCATAGTGAGACCCCGTCTCTATTTTTTTTAAATAAAGAAAAACATTTGAATGATTTTTTTCTTAACTGACATTTAGAAAGCATCCACCTCAAATCTTCCTAATCCACAAACTTGTCTAGCACCCCTGGAACATTCACCAAAATAAATTTTTAAATGCTGAATCATAGGTAATATGATAGATGAAACAGTTGAATTAAATTATAAATGTACAACAAGGAAATGCTGGGGAAATTATCAAATATTTTAAAATTAATAAACACACATAGCAATAAACAATGAGTGGAAGAAAAACATTTCAAAGAAAGGTGGAAAATATTTTGTATCAATTAAAAATGAAAACACATCTCGGCAAATGACTGGGGATACAGATAGAACAGCGTTAAGGGACAATAAGCCTCAAATGTCTGTGTTAGAAAAGAAGGAAGAGCTGAGTAAATAGGTAACTTTCACTTGCAGAAATACTACACATCAGCAAATTAATTCCAAAGTAACGTCGAGGAAAAACATAAAATGGCAAGCAAATATATACGTGCATATGTACATACATTCATAAATGACAAACAGGACAGAAAAATCAGTGACATCAATTTTGTTCCTTAGAAGAAACAGGAAAATTGACCCCAAAAAACTTTCCAGGCCACATTTGGTCATGATGGAAATATTTTGGCACTTCCTGGTTAAGCTCAACACCAACTTGCACCCAAAACCAATAATTTCATTTCTAGGTAAATATGTCTAATTAATTCAGCATATGTATGCAAGGGATCACACAGAAACACGATTATCAAGGCCCGAGTTATAAAAGAGAAAATCCGGAAACAACACAAATGTCCATGATAAAAAGAATGGATAATTACATGTTGATAAAGTTATGCATGGACTATTAAACTGCAATCCAAAAGAATAAAATAGAGCTATAAAATTCAATATGTATATGGTGTCATAGAAACACAAATGTGAGAAAAAGAAAGAAAAATACAAAATTTATATTTTTTAAAATTTGAAACAACTATATATGTGAGTGCTTAGGGTGTGTGTGTGTGTGTGTGTGTGTGTGTATAACCATATGTATATAAATGCACACATACGCACACATATAGAATGTCCCGGCCAGGCATGGTGGCTCACACCTGTAATCTCAGCACTTTGGGAGGCTGAAGTAGACAGATCACTTGAGGTTAGGAGTTCAAGACCAGCCTGGCCAACATGGAGAAACCTCCTCTCTACTAAAAGTACAAAAATTAGGTGGGCGTGGTGGTGGGTGCCTGTAAATCCAGCTACTTAGGAGGCTGAGGCACGAGAATTGCGTGAACCTGGGAGGTGGAGGCTGCAATGAGCCGAGGTCTCACCACTGCATTCCAAACTGGGTGACGAAGTGAGATTGCGTCTCAAAAAAAAAAAAAGTTCTAAAAGTTGTGACTTGGGTGTGGCAGATTGTGACATACTGCCAGCTGCTAGAAATGCTGGGGCAGGAGGATTGCTTGAACTCTGAAGTCAAAGAACAGCCTGGGGAAAATAGCACATGAAGAAGAGTTTGAATCTCAGATAAAAACAACAAAAATACATCAAAAGTCTTTAATGTAAGCCAAGCATTCAGTCATCTCCTGTATGAGAGATTGGATCTGAGACGTGTTTTGAGTTGGTTATAGTGAAGGATGCAAGGTGTCAATTCTAGTTGGAACAATTTCCAGGAAGCCATGTTCTGCTCTTGACCAAACAGCCACTGGGCCTCATGCAAGGTAGAAATAGCCTGCATACGTCATCCTCCCATGATGTGGTCAGCATGTAAACTGCATGAGCCCCTCACAACATCCTGTGTGCTGCTGAACTGAGCTGGGGCGCAGCCGCCTGTCTGCACCGGCAGCACCATGTCGCTCATGGTCGTCAGCATGGCGTGTGTTGGTGAGTCCTGGAAGGGAATCGAGGGAGGGAGCGGTGGGGTGGAGATCTGGGCCTGGAGTGGAGATATGGGCCTGGAGTGGAGATATGGGCCTGGAGTGGAGATATAGGCCTGGAGTGGAGATATGGGCCTGGGGTGGAGATATGGGCCTGGAGTGGAGATATGGGCCTGGAACTGTAGATATGGGCCTGAAGTAGAGATATGGGCCTGGAGTAGAGATATGGGCCTGGAACTGTAGATATGGGCCTGGAGTGGAGATATTGGCTTGGAGTGCAGATATGGACCTGGAATTGAGATACGGGCCTGGAGGTGGAGATATGGGCCTAGAGTGGAGATATGGGCCTGGAGGTGGAGATATGGGCCTGGAACTGTAGATATGGGCCTGGAGTAGAGATATGGGCCTGGAGTGGAGATGTTGGCTTGGAGTGCAGATATGGGCCTGGAATGGAGACACGGGCCTGGAGGTGGAGATACAGGCCTGGAGGTGGAGATATGGGCCTGGAGTGTAGATATGGGCCTGGAGTAGAGATATAGGACAGAGGTGGAGATATAGGCCTGGAGTGGAGATATGGGCCTGGAGTAGAGATATAGGACGGAGGTGGAGATATGGGCCTGGAGTGGAGATATGGGCCTGGAGGTGATGTACAGATGGATCATCCATCATGATCTTTCTTTCCAGGGTTCTTCTTGCTGGAGGGGCCCTGGCCACATGTGGGTGAGTCCTTCCCCCAAACCTTAGGTTGTCATCTCCCCACATAAGATGATGTTCCTGAAACGGGAGGCAGGCGACACAGGGGGTTGACTGATGGGCTGACCATGGGAAGCCATGTGGGAATCTCTCATGAACTAGGAAAAGGAAGCCAGGGGAAGCTTCGCCACAGTTCTGTCCTAGCCCTCCCCGGCCTTTCTTTCCCTTGGCTGAGTCTGTGGGGACCCAGGGGGAGACTGAAGTGCTCAAAGGAGTGGTGTGCAGGGAGGAAGTGGTGTCACCGGCAGAGGAAGGGAGAGAAGCAGTGCAAGGAACAACAGGCCTCTGAGGACAAGAGCATAACTCACACCCTCCAGCGTTTCCATGACGGTAGGGGCTGCAATGTGGCTGCTGTCATTCTACCTAAGAGGTGGGGGAACCACAGTCATGACCCTGACATTCCAGATCTTCTAATAGGGGCTCAGTTGTTTATTATGGTTCATGCATTAGCTGATCATGCCCTCCATCCTGTGTCTACCTTGTGTTCTTTTATGTAAGTAATTTTGCAGTGTTAAAATCTAGTAAGAGTCGCTTCTTCAGCACCTGCTCAAAGTTCTCAGCTGACACTTGCTGTAGGGAGACGCCATGTCTATGCGGGATGGGTCCTTCCTGTAGCCCTGGGCACCCAGGTGTGGTAGGAGCCTTAGAAACGTGGAAATGGGAGAATCTTCTGAGCACAGGGAGGGAGGGGCGGCTCCACATCCTCCTCTCTAAGGTAGTGCCTCCTTCTCCCCCAGGTGGTCAGGACAAGCCCTTCCTCTCTGCCTGGCCCGGCACTGTGGTGTCTGAAGGACAACATGTGACTCTTCAGTGTCGCTCTCGTCTTGGGTTTAACGAATTCAGTCTGTCCAAAGAAGACGGGATGCCTGTCCCTGAGCTCTACAACAGAATATTCCGGAACAGCTTTCTCATGGGCCCTGTGACCCCAGCACATGCAGGGACCTACAGATGTTGCAGTTCACACCCACACTCCCCCACTGGGTGGTCGGCACCCAGCAACCCTGTGGTGATCATGGTCACAGGTCAGAGGCTTTCTGTCTGGGCTTCTCACTGTCCCACCTCCTGAATCCCAGAGCTTCTGGTGGGGGCGTCCATCAGGGTCCAATCATCCAGGCCCAGACTGTATTTGGGGTAAAGGGGGATTCAGTACAGAGAAATAGTTGCTGTGGTGGGAAGAATAATTGTCCCCAGTGATGGCTACATGGTAATCCATGAACCCTGTGACTATTTATGTCATAGGGCAGGGGACTGAAGGGGAAGATGGAGCTCAGGTTGTTGATGGGTTGACCTTGCGATGGGGAGACAGCCTGGACTGTCCTGCTGTGCTCAGAGTAATCACAAGGGTCCTCATGAGAGGAGGAGGAAGAGGAAAGTGGGGTTAGAGCAACGTCGTGGGAGGGAGACTCCATCAGCCACAGCGGGCTTTGAAGATGGGGGAAGGCCATGAGCCACAAAGGCAGTTGGCCTCTAAGGGCTGGAGAAGTCAAGGGAACTGATTCTTCCCTGAGTCTCCAGAGGAAACACAGCCCTGTAGATGCCTTGATTTTAGCCCAGAGAGAACTGGGTCCGATTTCTGTTCTCCAGAAGTGGAAGGGGTCATTGTATTCTCTCCTGCCCCATGTTTGTGACAATTTTCTCCAGCAGCAACAGGAAACCAACACAGGAACCCAGGTGAAGCACAAGTTAAGAAACCAAACAAGGAGAAGGTTGGCTACACTGATTTTAGCATGGGTGGGATACTGATGCTACCACCAGGCTCGATCCACATAGGGAGGGGTTGATGCTCCTGGAACCAGCACCAGGGGCCACCCTATGGAAGCTGGGGCCATGGAGAAGGCACAGACATGACAGGAGAGGCTCCCAATCCCCATCAGGAACAGGGACACTGATGCCTGCCTTACTGATGAGTTCGTACCTCCTGCCAGCCTTTCCAATCTGTCCAAAAGAGATTGATTCAGGCTGCTAAGAGCCTGGACATGCAGCCTGTCGTGGTTCCTCTTCCACCCCCACATAAACACCAGGAAAGAGATTAGTGGGAAACAGATACAACAGCATAAGAGGTGACACTGAGCACAGTGGGAAGGGAATCAGGGCTACTAGAGACAGAGAGACAGGGAAGAGGGAGGGAGACAGATGGAGGGACCTGCAACAGGGGTTATGGGCACAAAAGAACACGGAGACACAGAGAGGAAGGAGAGAGATAGACACCATGGAGGGGAAGCCTCACTTATTTCAGGTCCCATGAATGGGATGAGAAAGGGAGACGCCTTCTGAACTCACAACCTCTCTTCTTAGGAGTCCACAGAAAACCTTCCCTCCTGGCCCACCCAGGTCCCCTGGTGAAATCGGGAGAGACGGTCATCCTGCAATGTTGGTCAGATGTCAGGTTTGAGCGCTTCCTTCTGCACAGAGAGGGGATCACTGAGGACCCCTTGCGCCTCGTTGGACAGCTCCACGATGCGGGTTCCCAGGTCAACTATTCCATGGGTCCCATGACACCTGCCCTTGCAGGGACCTACAGATGCTTTGGTTCTGTCACTCACTTACCCTATGAGTTGTCGGCTCCCAGTGACCCTCTGGACATCGTGGTCGTAGGTGAGAGAATACAGACCTGCCTCTCACCCTTGCTGGGAGATGGAGTGAATGATCTAGGACTGGAAGCCCCAGGTGGTCATGAGGAAGATGAGTGTGGGGTTCCTATGGAGAGAAAGTGACTTGGTGAGGTCTGTACCAACAAAGGCAGAGAAACAGGAGACACAAGTACAGACCTCATGTCATAACATAGAAGCCAGACACAGGGGCCATACAAGGTGTTAGAAAAAGAGATAAAGAGGTAAAGAAGACACAGAGAGACAGATATATCCCAGAGAGAGGTGTCCTTCTATGCTGACTTTGTTCAGAGACCAGGCACAGGTTAGAAGGTTCCATTCTGTTTTACCTCTACAAAGTGTTCTCTCCCAGGAGAACCCAAAGAGACACATCTATCTGGCCTGAGTTGGGCCGTGTGGCCCCAGGCTGGTGGCACCTACAGATGCTGTGTTTATTCTTAAACCTCTGCCTTCCGTGCAGTGGAGCTGTCGTCGTCGCAGGACACCATGGCCCCAGGTGAGGGAGCAGAACACCAACCCCTGTATGTTGTGAGTTCCTGGAGTCCCCATACTGGATTCTGAGGCTCATATTCAAATAGCACCACATGTTATAGGATTACTGAGAACAAAAGCCCACAGAGAGACACGGAGTGAAATCAGGGAAATCAAAAAGCAAAGACATGAACACACACACAGAATGAGCCAGAAGAAGGGAATTGAGAGACTCACAGACACATAAAGAGATAGAAAAAGAGGGCAGAGAAGTGGAGCGTATGATGGAAGGAAGCAGAGAAAAGCCCTAAAATCAGAGCCCTGAGGGAGGGGCACAAAGACAGGGAAAGATAAAGATGTGGGGATGGATTGCAGAGACTCCAAAAGGGAACTAGAGAGACTGAGAGGCAGAGAAAGACAAGGAGATGGAGAGAGACAGATGATAGATGGATAGATAGATATAGATAGATGAAAGATAAAAGGTAGATGATAGATAATAGAGAGACAGGTGATAGACAAATAGATGATGAATGACTGATAGATGATATAGATAGACAAGTAGAAAGACAGACAGATGATATATAAATAGATATAGAGAGATAGAAAGACAGATAAACACATGATGATAGATGGATAGATGCATACATACATACATTGATTGATAGATGATAGATAACAGAGAGATAGGTCATAGATACACAGATGATGATAGATGATAGATACATACATAGATAAATGATAGATCGATCAATAGATAGTAGATAGAAATATGCAGAAAGTTATGAGCAAGACAGAAAGTGAGAGACTCAGAATTAAAGAAAGAGGAAGATCAAGTCAACCAGTCCAAGGAGGGTCAGAGAGAATAAAATGGTACAAAAAAAGAAAACATAGCTAGGGATGGAGAAGTGAGGTCAGAGACCTAGAGAGACAGAGAAGGTGGAAGGAGGAAATAGACATGAAGAGAGATGGGGGTGGAGGGTGAGAGAGAGAAAGAGAGCATTAAGTCATAGAGCAGGGGAGTGAGTTCTCAGCTCAGGTGTGAGGAGAGCTGTGACAACGAAGAACCTCCCTGAGGAAACCACCTCTTCTCCTTCCAGGTCTATATGGGAAACCTTCTCTCTCAGCCCAGCCGGGCCCCACGGTTCAGGCAGGAGAGAATGTGACCTTGTCCTGCAGCTCCCGGAGCTTGTTTGACATTTACCATCTATCCAGGGAGGCAGAGGCCGGTGAACTTAGGCTCACTGCGGTGCTGAGGGTCAATGGAACATTCCAGGCCAACTTCCCTCTGGGCCCTGTGACCCACGGAGGGAACTACAGATGCTTCGGCTCTTTCCGTGCCCTGCCCCACGCGTGGTCAGACCCGAGTGACCCACTGCCCGTTTCTGTCACAGGTGAGAAAACACCATGCCTGTCCCATGTCTTGTGATCCTAGAGCCATAGCTGAGGAGCTTCCTGCTGATGATGGAGAGAAGCATGGACAGATGCCGAGACAGAACACACAGCATGGGTGTAAGGGCGGGGTCAGGGGGCAGGATGGCAGACAGGGCACCTCCAAACCCTCCTGTATGGCCTGCAAGGAGGCCCTTGATCAGGGTTCCAGGCACCCAGGCAGATGGAGAAAGAGGTCAGAACAGACCCAGAGGAGGGAGACTGGGCTCTGCCTGGGGAGATCAGAGGTTCTCTCAGCCCCTCAACCTTACCCACTTCCCAGAAGCCCATCCTGGCCTGTCACCCACAGAGAGATGTCATCACCAGCAACGCCTACACCCTTTTCTTTTTGTTTGAAGAAATATTTATTGAGGTGAAATATACCTATGTAATTTACCACCTTTACCATTTTTAAGTGTGAAGTCTACTGTTCATAAATACATTTATAGGCTGGGCACGGTGGCTCACTGTTGTAATCCCAACACTTTGAGAGGCCAAGGCAGGTGGATCATTTGAGATCAGGGGCTCAAGACCACCCTGGCCAACATGGGGAAAATCCATCTGTACTAAAAATACAAAATAATAATAATAATGATAATAATTAGCCGAGCATGGTGGCACATGCCTGTAGTCCCAGCTACTTGGGAGGGTTGGGCAGGAGTTGCACTTAATTGCAGGAGGCGGAGGTTGCAGTGAGCTGAGATCATGCCACTGCACTGCAGCCTGGGCAACAGAGAGAGACACTCTCTCAAAATTAATTAATTAATTAATTAGTATTCTTTTTTTTTTACCCTCCACCCTTCCCTTCCTGGCCTCTGGTAGCCACCATTCTACTCTCTACCTTTGTGAGATCCACCTTTTAGCTCCTGCATATGAGTGAGAAATGGAAATACTTGTAATGACCTCCAGTTCCATTCATGTGGCTGTAAATGACAGGATGTTACTCTTTCTATGGATGAGTTGTCCCTATTGTGTGTGTGTACCACATTCTCTCCATCCATTCACCCACTGATGGGCGGGTAGGTTGATCCACATCTTGGCTACTGTGAACACTGCTGGAACAGTCATGGGAGTGCAGATGTCACTTCGATACGCTGATGTCCTTTCCTTTGGGTTTACACCCAGTCATGGAATTGCTAGATCCTCTGGAAGTGTCTTTTTACATTTTGTTTTATGGTTTTTGTTTTTGTTTTTGTTTTTTTTAGACAGTTTCACTCTTGTTGCCCAGGCTGGAGTGCAGTGGTGCCATCTGGGCTCACTGCAACCTCCACCTCCAGGATTC
Organism: Homo sapiens; assembly: GCF_000001405.40. Classification (NCBI taxonomy): domain Eukaryota; kingdom Metazoa; phylum Chordata; class Mammalia; order Primates; family Hominidae; genus Homo; species Homo sapiens. Next base: position 32,697 of record NW_016107311.1, read on the forward strand.
AAGAGATTCCCCAGCCTCAGCCTCCCAAGTAGCTGGGTTACTGGCTCCCACCACCACACTCGGCTAATTTTTATATTTTTAGTAGAGACAGAGTTTCGCTATATTGGCCAGGCTGCTCTTCAACTCCTGACCTCAAGTGACCTACCCACCTCGGCCTCCCAATGTGCTGGGATTACAGGCATGAACCACTGTGCCCGACCTCATTTTATTTTTTGAGGAACTTCCATACTCTTCTCCTCTGTAATGGCTGTACTAATTTGCATTCGTATCAGCAGTGTACCAGATGCAACCCTGGTTGACTCAGCAGAGCAAGAGACGTGCAGTAAGAGAGAATTTAGCTTATTTATGCACACGACACTTCCACTCACTCACTCGTTCAGCCAATGCCCCATGCTCTGGCTGTGCAGTGTGGAATCTTTTCCTATTGTTGCCATAACAAATTTCCACAAGCTTCGTGGATGAAAACATGTTTTTCTTAATTATCTCACAGTGCTGTAACTCAGAAGTATGAACTGCATTTCACTGGGCTGATATCAAAGGGACAGTAAGGCTGGATTTCTTTTTAAGGTTCCAAGCAAGAATCTGCTCCTTAACGTTTCCCAGCTCCTAGAGGCTCCCACGTTCCTGGGCCCCTGGTCCCCTTCCTCCTTCCTCCTTCCTCAAAGCCCACAAAGGCTGGTCACGTCTCACATGGCATCATTCAGACTCTTCTTCTTTACCCATACCTTTTTCTCTGAATCCTGCTCTGCCTTCTTCCTCATCTTTTAAGGACTTTGGGATTCTATTGGGGTCACCAAGATAATCCATCTCAATCTCCCTAAAATCATCCAGCGTACCCTCTTTTTAAGTTCAGCTGATTAGCAACCGTAATGCCATCTGCAATCTTCATTCCTCCTTTCCTGTAAAATAACATATTCACAAGCTATGGAGGCTAAGACAGGGACATTTTGGGGGTGGGGCAGCATTCTCCTGCCTTCCACAAATGGTAAACAGGATGCATTTGGCCTCTGCTCTTGGGACGCTGATATTGCAGATGGGTAAATGCGAGGGCAGAGAATGAATGCACAAGGGTACCAATAAATGAATGATCCATTGGGAAGCATCTGTGCACCAAATCTGGGGTTTTTTGTGTGTGTGTGTGTTTTTTGTTTTCTTTTTTTTTTTTGAGTAGAGTCTCTCTCTGTTCCACAGGCTGGAGTGCAGTAGCACAATCTCAGCTCATTGCAACCTCTGCCTCCTGGGTTCATGCAATTCTCCTGCCTCAGCCTACCGAGTAGCTGGGATTACAGCTGTGCGCCACCACACTCGGCTAATTTTTTTGGTATATTTTTTAGTAGAAATGAGGTTTCACCATGTTGTGCAGGCTGTCTCAAACTCCCAATCTCAAGTGATCCCACCGCCTTAGCGTCCCTAAGTGCAAAGATTACAGGCGAGAGCTACTGCGCCCAGCCAGGATTTAAAATAAGTAATAGATAATGCTGAGTATATAATTTCAGGTGACAGAGAAGGTCTCACTGATCAGATAATATTTGTGACCTTAATGGAAAAAATGGATTCAACCCTTGGAAGATTGGCGGAAGGATTTTCCACACTGAGCTCTCAGCCGTGAAGGCACAAAGGTGGAAACATTCTTAGTTCAAGGAAGAGGCTCTGCCTCAAATGCTGGGAATGAGATGGGGAGAATGACAAGACAACTGTAGAGAGATGGAGAGCACACTGGGTACACAGGAAACTAAGGAGGAACAAGGAGCATGTTTTTGATACTCACAGCCCTTGGATTCAACTCAGAGCTAACTAGGAATCCCTACCTGATTAACAGTGACCGACATGAAAATAAGGGAGGCCCAGGTGCGTAACTGGAATCTAGGAGACGGTGGAAAAGGCAATTCCCGCCCCACTGGTGAAACGTAGGGTTGATTTACACACTAAATGAATGAAAGATGGATATAAGCTATGCTTGTGAGGTAGAATCATTTGCAGGGAGGGCTTGCTGGGTTTGATTTTTCCTAGTAGTTTAATCCTTGTTTCATTAATTTCTTTCTGAGATGTGTTTTTTTTCTACATCTAAATCCATACCTGGCAGAGGAGCGATAGACACATGAGGGGTGGTGCAAATGAAGGGACCTAGTATAATATAATATACAAGACTGTGGATGGGGGCTCACACCTGTAACCCAACACTTTGGGAGGCCAAGGCGGGTAGATCACTTAAGGGTAGGAGTTTGAGACCAGCCTGGCCAACATGGTGAAACCCCGTCTGTACTAAAAATACAAAAATTAGCCTGGTGCATTGGCACCTGCCTGTAATCCCAGCGACTGGGGAGGCTGAAGCAGAAGAATGGCTTCAACCCTGGAGGCAGAGGTTGAACTGAGATCGCATCACTGCACTCCAGCCTGACACAGGGGGACTCTGTCTCAAAAAATAAAAATAAAACATACATAATTATGACACACAGAAATTACAAAGGCAACTGGATACCAACCATCATTTTTCTATTTCTCTGTGTTTAATTCTTTGACCCTTTATCTTATCCATTAAACAATCAGGTTAAACCTCTTCCTTATTTGGCTTTCTGTGAGCTTGGGATCATATGGAAAATGTGAAAGCCTCCTGAACCCACCAGCACAGGTCCTGGAATAGAGAACGTGCTCTGTTCATGGCATAAAACTTGCCCCTTCACCCAAATCCCCCAATTCATCTCTACTTCCAATCACCTATGGAGATACAGATAGATCATGGGGAGGTAAACACTAATACTCTTTGGAGTGAGCTCAGATCTTGGACTCAGAGACCAGTGCCAGCACTAGCCCCTGGTCACATTTCGTACTAACTCACAGAAGGACAGGCTGTATTGAAACAATAAACGACGGAGAGGGCGGTCCTTCCCCGTGCTTCTCGGGTGGAATAGCAGCCTAATATATGTCTCAGCAGATCACAAAAAGTAGCATGTTGTTCCTGGGCTACATCATTATTTCATGGCTGTTTGATTTAAGTCAGTTCTACTTCACTTTTTTTATCTTGATTTCATTTTTTCTTTCTTTTCTTGGAGAATGTAATTTTTTTTGAGTCAAGAGGGTTGTGGTGGTAGAAACTGTAAAGCACATTCGCTGTGTATCAATCCCAATCCAGTCTTCCCAGAGAAGATTCTAAACACCTCCTGGAATGCACCTGGGCCTATACCAATTCCTATCACTCACCGTCACTCCAGGGAGACAGAACACACAGAGAACACATTACACAGGCAGGTTCATTACTAACAGATAAGCAGCGAGTGACAACAGAAGCCTACATTTCAATGTGAGCCAGTCCCTCAAGGCTCAGAAAAGCTGCTCGAGACATGTGGAGTCACCCCATATGCAGTGTATCTGGGGGAAATCAAAAAGCAGCCCAGCCTGGGTTTTGTACCCTGGAGCCACAGGAAGCACTCAGCTAAAGCACTGCATGACATCCTCCTCCAGGAAGAACAGGAAGACAGCCCAGGCTGTTCTGGGATGTTCCTCCTGATCTCAGGACGTTGCTGTCTTAGTCCATTTTTGTTGCTCTAAAGGAACACTTGAGCCTGGGTAACTTCTAAAGAAAAGAAATGTGTTTGCCTCACAGTTCTTCAGGCTGTACTTGAAGCATGGCACCAGCATCTATTTCTTGTGACGGCCTCAGGCTGCTCCCACTCTGGCAGAAGGGAAGGAGGGTCTGTCTGTGCAGAGACCACAGAGATCACACGGCAAGAGAGGGAGCAAGGGGGAGGGGGAGCGATGGAGCTTCCAAGCTCTTTTTAACAACCAGTTCTCCAGGAACTAATAGAGGGGGAACTTGCTAACCCCGTCTCCTTGGGACAGCATTGATCTGTTCATGATGGATCCACCTCCATGACCCAAACAACTCCCAAGAGGCCCAACCTCCCACCCTGGGGGTTACATTTCAATGTGAGGTTTGAAGGGGTCAAACATCTAAACTAAAGCAGTTGTATCCTCAGCACGTTCTATGGTTACTACAACTGAGAAAGCAGGAGGAAGCTAGGTCTCCCGCCATCTGGGTGCTTGTCCTAAAGAGACGTTGTATGTGGTTACCTGTCAATCAAGAAATGTGAGACAATTCATATAGAGGAACTGCTATGATTAGCTTCTTATTGGTGTCTTGTCTTCCTCCAGGTAACTCCAGACACCTGCACGTTCTGATTGGGACCTCAGTGGTCATCATCCCCTTTGCTATCCTCCTCTTCTTTCTCCTTCATCGCTGGTGTCCCAACAAAAAGAGTAAGTCTCACGAAGCAGAAGCCAGAGAGCTCAGGGCCATGTGGGGAAGCAGGATGGGAGCACTCAGGTGTGTGTTCCTTACAGGCAGGATGGTCCCTGGCCCAAGGCAGGAGCCACAGAGGCAGGACTTTCTAGAGAGAGCACCAGACTCCCTGCCCCTGCCTTCAGCTCACAGACCATTGCCTGATTCTGAACTGTATCCTCATGTCCCCTGCAGCCACTCACATCCAGGAGAAGGTTCCATGACAGGCAGAAAGTGGGAGACAGAATCAATGGGATGGGAACTCAGAGCTATTCATGGGATGGGTCCTTGAGCTCAGAGAGATAGAATGTCTGAGTCTGCTGTTGGCAACTGAGGGACCTCAGGCACCTATGGCCTCCCCCTGTATGTTGGTATCTGCTTATGAAATGAGGACCCAGAAGTGCCCTCCGAGCTGTTTTGACGACTTCCGTCTTCTACAGATGCTGTTGTAATGGACCAAGAGCCTGCAGGGAACAGAACAGTGAACAGGGAGGTAGGTGCTCCTCAGCCCAGCCTCGTGGCTAGTCTTATTCCCAAACAGTCCTGAAAAATGTGAGCACCCTCCCTCACTCAGCATTTCCCTCCCTCCAGGACTCTGATGATCAAGACCCTCAGGAGGTGACATACGCACAGTTGAATCACTGCGTTTTCACACAGAGAAAAATCACTCGCCCTTCTCAGAGGCCCAAGACACCCCCAACAGATACCAGCGTGTAACACGGAACTTCCAAATGCTGAGCGCAGATCCAAAGTTGTCTTCTGTCCACCAGCACCACAGTCAGGCCTTGATGGGATCTTCTAGGGAGACAACAGCCCTGTCTCAAAACCGGGTTGCCAGCTCCCATGTACCAGCAGCTGGAATCTGAAGGCGTGAGTCTTCATCTTAGGGCATCGCTCCTCCTCACGCCACAAATCTGGTGCCTCTCTCTTGCTTACAAATGTCTAGGTCCCCACTGCCTGCTGGAAAGAAAACACACTCCTTTGCTTAGCCCACAATTCTCCATTTCACTTGACCCCTGCCCACCTCTCCAACCTAACTGGCTTACTTCCTAGTCTACTTGAGGCTGCGATCACACTGAGGAACTCACAATTCCAAACATATAAGAGGCTCCCTCTTAACACGGCACTTAGATACATGCTATTCCACCTTTCCTCATGTTGTTCCACCTTTCCTCAGACTATCTTTCAGCCTTCTGTCAGCAGTAAAACTTATAAATTTTTTTTATAATTTCAATGTAGTTTTCTATTCTTCAAGTAAACATGTCTGCCCTCATGGTTTCGTCAATGGGACTCTTTTCTTGACTAAGGCTTCCGGTGTTATCATTACCACGTCCACATAACCCCATCTGTTCTCCGCTGGGTTCTCACCCCTGGACTCTGAGCTTCTGGAAGCAGGGTGGAGCCTGAATTGTCTCTGAGACTCCAATTTCCATCCAAAGATGCAGCACATAGGAGGTTCCAAGGATGGTGAATCAGATGAACAAGTGATATTCTTAACTCTCTGCAGATCTGGAAAGCTGGCAGAGTCATTCCACGATGAAACATTTGTAGAGTCATAGGCCTTGTTAGTCTCATCTCCACAGGGACACATATCAACACATCATCTTTCATACTACTATAAATAGACAGTCACTCCTCCATATCTCTGGGGTTTACACGTTTATTGAATCAGCAATAAATCAAAAATATTTTGAGAAAAAAAATCCCCGAAGTTTCAAAAAGCAAAAAACTATGTTGAATCGACACAAATTGAGTGGCGTGTAGGCTGTGTCAGGAATTATAAGTAATCAAGAGATGATTTCATGTATACAGGAGGATGTGCATGGGTTCTATGCAATTGCTATGCTATTTTTTTTTTGAGACAGTCTCACTCTCTCACCCAGGCTGGAGTGCAGTGGCGTGATCTCAACTCACTGCAACCTCCGCCTTCCAGGTTCAAGCGATTCTCTTCCCTCAGCCTCCCCAGTAGCCTCCCCTAGGATTACAGGCACGTGCCACCCTGCACAGATAAATTTTTTTGTGTGTATATTTTTAGTAGAGACGGGGTTTCAGAATGTTGGACCAGCTGGTCTTGAACTCCTGACCTTGTGATCTACCCAGCTCAGCCTCCCAAAGTGCTGGGATTACAGGCGTGAGCCACGGTGCCCAGCTTCACTATGCCATTTCATGCAAGGGGCTTGAGCATCTGCAGATTTTGGTATCTGAATGGGGATCCTGGAACCAATCACGCAGGTATAGTGAAGGACCATGGTATATAATTTTTATTTGTCAATCTTAAAAATAAAGCATAAAAAATTTACAACAACAAGATAAAAAATAAGAAGTGTTTTTATAGTGTGAGGATAAGTTTAGATTTATTTTTTCCTACGTGTAACCCTATGGTCCTGTGTTATTTGTTGAGAAAATATTCTATTCCACCTTAAACTACATGGCAGCCTTTGTCAACTATAAAGGGACTGTGTATCCACAGATGTATTTTAGACACAGTTTTCTGTCCAGTGGTTCTCTGTATCCCCTCTCATGAGGATGCTGCATTTTATATAAACTTATAGAACCCCTTAAAATTTGGTAACCTGAGTCCTCTGATTTGTTATTATAGGTTATTTAGTTTGCTTTTTTTTTTTTCTTGAGACAGACTCTTCCTCTGTCACCCAAGCTGGAGTTCAGTGGCTTGAGCTCAGCTCACTGCAACCTCCGTCTCCCAGGTTCAAGCTATTCTGATGCCTCTGGTTTAGTACTAGAAACTCAAGCAGGAAAATTAGAATGGCTTCTTGTCACAATTACTCTGATAATGTTAATAATACCTGTTAGACATTTTGCACATTACATATGAAGAAGAGTTTGAATCTCAGATAAAAACAAAAATACATCAAAAATCTTTAATGTAAGCACAGAATTCAATCATCTCGTGTATGAGAGGTTGGATCTGAGACGTCTTTTGAGTCTGGTCGTAGTGAAGGACGCAAGGTGTCAATTCTAGTGAGAACAATTTCCAGGAAGCCGTGTTCCGCTCTTGAGCGAGCACCCACTGGGCCTCATGCAAGGTAGAAAGAGCCTGCGTACGTCACCCTCCCATGATGTGGTCAACATGTAAACTGCATGGGCAGGGCGCCAAATAACATCCTGTGCGCTGCTGAGCTGAGCTGGGGCGCGGCCGACTGTCTGCACAGACAGCACCATGTCGCTCATGGTCGTCAGCATGGCGTGTGTTGGTGAGTCCTGGAAGGGAATCGAGGGAGGGAGTGCGGGGATGGAGATCGGGGCCCAGAGTTGGAGATATAGGCCTGGAAGTGGAGTTATGGGCCTAGAGATGGAGTGATGGGCCTAGAAGTGGAGATCTGGGCCTGGAGTGGAGATCTGGGCCTGGAGTGGAGATATGGGCCTGGAGGTTGAGATATGGGCCTGCAGTAGAGATATGGGCTTGTAGTGGAGACATGGGCCTGGAGATGGAGATATGGGCCTGGAGATGGAGATATGGGCCTGCAGTAGAGATAGGGGCCTGGAGTGGAGATATGGGCCTGGAGTGGAGATATGGGCCTGAAGTGGAGATATGGGCCTGGAGGTGGAGATATGGGCCTGGAGGTGGAGATATGGGCCTGGAGTGGAGATATGGGTCTGGAGGTGGAGATACGGGCCTGCAGTAGAGATATGGGCCTGGAGTGGAGATATGGGCCAGGAGTGGAGTTATGGGCCTAGAGGTGGATATCTGGGCCTGGAGTGGAGATATGGGCCTAGGAAGGAGATATGGGCCTGGGTGTGGAGATATGGGACTGGAGAGGTGATATGGGCCTGGAGTGGAGATATGGGCTTAGGGTGGAGATCTGGGCCTGGGGCGGAGATATGGGACTGGATTGGAGATATGGGCCTAGGGTAGAGATCTGAGCCTGGATTGGCGATATGGGCCTAGGGTGGAAATATCAGCCTGGAGTGGAGATATGGGCTTGGGGTGGGGATCTGGGCCTGGAAACTGGGTCTCTGCACAGCCGGCAGCCCTGTTCTTGGGTGCAGGTAGGCACTGAGGGTGAGTTTACCTTCAGCCCAGGAAGGGCCTGGCTGCCAAGACTCACAGCCCAGTGGGGGCAGCAAGGGAGTCCTGGTTTGCCTGCAGATGGATGGTCCATCATGATCTTTCTTTCCAGGGTTCTTCTTGCTGCAGGGGGCCTGGCCACATGAGGGTGAGTCCTTCTCCAAACCTTCGGGTGTCATCTCCCCACATAAGAGGATTTTCCTGAAACAGGAGGGAAGTCCTGTCGGGGAGTCTCTCATAAACTAGGAAGAGAGGACCCTGGGGTGCTCAGCCCACATTTCTGACCTCGCCTCCCTGGCCTCTCAACCCCTTGGCAGAGTCAAGTTCTGTGGGGACCAGGGTTAGACTGGGGTGCTCAAAGCTGGGGTGTGTGGTTGGGAAGTGGTAGGAACAGCAGATCCTCTGAGGACAAAGGTGTTACTCACACACTTCAGCGTTTCCATGATGGTAGGGGCTGCAGTGTGGCTCCTGTCATTCTACCAGAAGAGGTGGGAAACCACAGCCATGGCCCTGACATTCCAAATCCTCTGATGGGGGCTCAGTTGTTTATTTTCATTCAGGCATCCGCTGATATCCATTCACAAAGGACATGCCCTCCACTTCATGTCTACCCTGTGTTGTTTTATGTGAGTAATCTTACAGTATTAAAATCTAGCAGGAGTCTCTTTACTCAGCACTTGCTCAAAGTTCTCAGCTGAGGCTTTTGCTGTAGGGAGACACCATGTCTTTGCGGGATGGGTCCTTCCTTCAGCCCTGGGCACCAAGGTGTGATAGTAGCCATAGAAACGTGGAAAGCGAGGAGAATCTTCTGAGCACAGGGAGGGAGGGGCAGTTCCACATCCTCCTCTCTAAGGCGGCGCCTCCTTCTCCCCAAGGTGGTCAGGACAAGCCCTTGCTGTCTGCCTGGCCCAGCCTTGTGGTGCCTCTAGGACATGTCATTCTTCGGTGTCACTCTTATCTTGGGTTTAACAACTTCAGTCTGTACAAGGAAGGTGGGGTGCCTGTCCCTGAGCTCTACAACAGAATATTCTGGAACAGCCTTTTCATGGGCCCTGTGACCCCCGCACACACAGGGACATACAGATGTCGGGGTTCACACACACACTCCCCCAGTGGGTGGTCAGCACCCAGCAACCCCCTGGTGATCGTGGTCATAGGTCAGAGGGCTCCTCTCTTGGATTCTCTTGTCCCACCTCCTGAATCCCAGAGCTTCTGGTGGGCATGTCCTTGAGGGTCCCATCACGCAGGCCCTGACTGTATTTGTGGTAAAGGGGGATTGAATACAGGGAAATGGGTGCTGTGGTGGGAAGAATAATTGTCCCCAGTGATGACTACATTCTAATCCCTGGAGTCTGTGACTATTTATGTTATAGGTGAAGGGACTGAAGGGGAAGATGGAGCTCATGGGGAGACAGCCTGGACTGTCCCACTGGGCTCAGTGTAATCACAAGGGTGCACACGAAAGGAGGAGGAAGAGGGGAGTGGGGATTAGAGCAGTCCAGTGGAAGTCTTCACCAGCTTTGAAGGTGGAGGAAGGCCAAGAGCCATGAATGCAGGTGGCCTATAGAGGCTGGAAAAGTCAAGGAACTGATTCTCCAGAGTCTCCAGAGGGAACAAAGCCCTGCAGATGCCTTGATTTTAGCCCAGGAAAAATAGGGTCCAATTTCTGTCTCCAGGAGTGGAAGGTGTCAGTGTGCTCTCTCCTGCTGCCATGCTTCTGATAATTTTCTACAGCAGCAACAGGAAACCAACACTGGAACCCAGGTCAAGGACAAGTTAAGAAACAACCCAAGGAAAGCCAGGCATGGTGGCAGGTGCATGTAATCCTAGCGACTCAGGAGGCTGAGGGCAGGAGAATCACTTGAACCCAGGAAACAGAGGTTGCAGTGAGCCTAGACCACACCACTTCACTCCAGCCTGGGGGAAGGAGTGAGACTCTGTCTCCAAAATTAATTAATTAATTAAAGAAACCAAACAAGGAGAAGGTTGGCTACCCTGAGATCAGCAAGTGTGGGATGATGATGCCACCACCAGGCTCCATCCACATAGGGAGGGGTTGATACTCCTCCAACCAGCACCAGGAGCCAGCCTATGGAAGCTGGCACCATGGAGAAGGTACAGGCATGGCAAGAGTGTCTCCCAGTCCCCACCAGGAACAGGGTGTGTGGACACTGGTGCCTGCTTTATTCATCAGTTCATACCTTCTGCCAAGGATTGCAATTCATCCAAAAGAGATTGAACCAGGCTGATAAGAGCCTGGATGTGCAGCCTATCCTGGTTCCTCTTTCACCCCCACATAAACAGCAGGAAAGACATTAGTGTGAAATAGATACAACACCCCAAGAGATGAGGCTAAGCCCAGTGGGAAGGGAATCAGAGGCTACTAGAGACAGAGGAACAGAGAAGAGGGAGGGAGACAGATGGAAGGACCTGCACCAGGAGTTAAGGGCACAGAAAAGAACATGAAGACACAGAGAGGAAGGAGAGAGACAGACACCAGCAAGGGGAAGCCTCACTCATTCTAGGTGCCATGGATGGGATGATAAAGAGAGACACCTTCTAAACTCACAACCTCTCTTCCTAGGAGTCCACAGAAAACCTTCCCTCCGGGCCCACCCAGGTCCCCTGGTGAAATCAGAAGAGACAGTCATCCTGCAATGTTGGTCAGATGTCAGGTTTGAGCACTTCCTTCTGCACAGAGAAGGGAAGTTTAAGGACACTTTGCGCCTCATTGGAGAGCACCATGATGGGGTCTCCAAGGCCAACTTCTCCATCGGTCCCATGATGCAAGACCTTGCAGGGACCTACAGATGCTACGGTTCTGTTACTCACTCCCCCTATCAGTTGTCAGCTCCCAGTGACCCTCTGGACATCGTCATCACAGGTGAGAGTGTCCGGACATTCTCATTGTCATTGGGATGCAGAGTGAATGATCCATGACTTGGAACCCCCAGGTAGTTGTAAGGAAGATGAGCTTGGTATTCTTATGGAGAGAGACTGACTTGCTGAGGTTTGTACCAACAGAGACAGAGAAACAGGAGACACAAGTACAGACCAGGTGTCATAACAGAGGACAGACACAGGGGCCATACAGGGAGTTAGAAAAGACAGAAAGAGTTAAAAGAGACAGACAGACAGACATGTCCCAGAGAGAGGTGTCCCTCCATGCTGACTTTGCTCACAGACCTGGCACAGGTTAGAAGTTTCATTTCTGTTTTACCTCCACAAAGTGTTCTCTACCAGGAGAACCCAAGGACACCCATATTTATGACCTGAGTTGGGCCCTGTGGCCTCAGGCCTTGTGGCACCTACAGGCCATGTTTATTCTGACACCTCTGCCTTCCATGTAATGGAGAGTAACTGTCCCAGGATATCATGGCCCCAGAACACCAACCCCTGTATGCTGTGTGAACTTGTGGTCTCCAGACTGGATTCTGAGGCTCACATTCCAAATAACCCCACATATGAAAGGATCACTGAGAGGCACAGAGAAAAATCAGGAACACCAAAAAGCAAAGACATAAACACACAGAGAATGAGCCAGAGGAAGGAGATTGAGAGACTCACAGACACATAAAGAGAGAGAAAAGAGGGCAGAGGAGTGGTGAGAATGATGGCAGGGAGCAGAGAAAAGCACTAAATTTAGAGTCCTGAGAGAGAGGCACAAGGACATAGAAACATGGAGATGTGGGGATGAATTGCAGAGATTCCAAAGAGAGCTAGAGAGACCGAGAGGCAGAGCAACACAGATGATAGATGGATAGATATAGATAGATGATAAATAGGTAGATGATAGATAATAGGTTAAAGATACATAGATGATGATTGATTGATTCATTAATAGATAATACATAGAGATGATGATGATGAAGACAGATAATACGTACAGATAGAGAGGCAGACAGAAATCATAGAGAGAGAGATGATACATACATATAAATAACAGATGATTGATGGATAGATAGACAAGTGATAGATACATAGATGATATATAGATATAGATGACAGGTAGAGAATTTGTAGATAGGCACTGAATAGATAAATAGATAGATCGACAGATAATAGATAGAAATATGCAGAAAGTTATGAACAGGACACAACGTGAGAAACTTAGAATTTAAAAAAGTAACATCAAGTCAACCAATCCAAGGAGAGTCAGAGAGAATAAAACAATCCAAAAACGGAAAACATATCTAGAGGTGGGGAAGCGAGGTCAGAGACCTAGAGAGACAGAGAAGGTGGAAGAAGGAAATAGACATGAAGAGAGATGGGGTGGAGGGTGAGAGAGAGAGAGAGAGAGCATTAGGTCATAGAGCAGGGGAGTGAGTTCTCAGCTCAGGTGAAGGGAGCTGTGACAAGGAAGATCCTCCCTGAGGAAAATGCCTCTTCTCCTTCCAGGTCTATATGAGAAACCTTCTCTCTCAGCCCAGCCGGGCCCCACGGTTCTGGCAGGAGAGAGCGTGACCTTGTCCTGCAGCTCCCGGAGCTCCTATGACATGTACCATCTATCCAGGGAGGGGGAGGCCCATGAACGTAGGTTCTCTGCAGGGCCCAAGGTCAACGGAACATTCCAGGCCGACTTTCCTCTGGGCCCTGCCACCCACGGAGGGACCTACAGATGCTTCGGCTCTTTCCGTGACTCTCCATACGAGTGGTCAAACTCGAGTGACCCACTGCTTGTTTCTGTCACAGGTGAGGAAACCCCATATCTGTCTCATGTCCTGTGATCCTAGAGCCTTAGCTGAGGAGCTTCCTGCTGATGATGGAGAGAAGCATGGACAGATGCAGAGAGAAGACGAAGCTTGGGTGTGAGGGAGGGATCAGGGCACAGGATGGCAGACAGGGCACCTCCAAACCCTCCTACACGGCCTGCATGGAGGCCCGCGGCCAGGGCTCCAGGCACCCAGGCAGATGGAGAAAGCGGTCAGGAGAGACCCAGAGGAGGGAGACTGGGCTCAGTTTGGGAAGATCAGAGGTTCCCTCAGCCCCTCAACATTACCCGTTTCCCAGAAGCCCATCCTGGCCTCTCACCCACACAGGGATGTCATCACCAGCAACCCCTACACCCTTTACTTTTGTTTGAAGAAATATTTATTGAGGATAAATATACCTATATAGCTTACCACCTTTAACATTTTTTTTTTTTGAGGCAGAGTCTAGCTCTGTCCCCTATGCTGGAGTGCAGTGGCACAATCTCAGCTCACTGCAACTTCCGCCTCCTGGGTTCAAGTGATTCTTCTGCCTCAGCCACCTGAGTAGCTGGTGCTACAGGCGCGCACCACCACGCCAGGCTACTTTTTGTATTTTTAGTAGAGAGGTGGTTTCACCATGTTGGTCGAGCTGGTCTCCAACTCCTGACCACGTGATCCACCCGCATCTGCCTCCCAAAGTGCTGGGATTACAGGCATGAGCCACCACGCCCAGCCACATTTACCATTTTTAAGTGTAAAGTCTAGTGGTCATAAATACATTTATATATATATATATGTGTATATATATATACACACACATATATATACATATATATATATATATATATATATATATATATATATTTTTTTTTTTTTTACCCTCCACCCTTTTCTTCCTGGCCTCTGGAAGCCACCATTCTACTCTCTACCTTCATGAGATCCACCTTTTAGCTCTGTATATGGGTGAGAAATGGGAATCTTTGTAATGACTTCCAGTTCCATCCATGTGGCTGCAAATATCAGGATGTTATTCTTTCTATGGATGAGTAGTCTCCACTGTGCGTATGTACTACATTCTCTCTATCCATTCATCCACTGATGGGCAGGTAGGTTGACTCCACATCTTGGCTACTGTGAACAGTGCTGCACCAATCATACGAGTGCAGATATCACTTCGATATATTGATTTACTTTCCTTTGGATATAAACCCAGTAGTGAAATTGCTGGATACTATGAAAGTTCTCTTTTTAGTTATTCGTTTGTTGTTTTGTTTTTGTTTTTGAGACAGTTTCCCTCTGTGCCCAGGCTGGAGTACAAGTGAAGTTATCTTGGCTCATTGCAACCTCCGCCTCCTGGGTTCAAATGATTTTCCTGCCTCAGCCTCCCTAGTAGCTGGGATTACAGGTGCACGCCACCATGCCTGGCTACTTTTTGTTTTTTTTAGTATAGATGCGGTTTCCCCATGTTGGCTGGGCTGCTCTCAAACTCATGACCTCAACTGAGGTGCCCGCCTCGGTCTCCCAAAGTGCCGGGATTACAGGCATGATCCACCTCACCCAACCTCTTTTTAGTTCTTTAAAGGACTTCCACACTTTTCTCCGTAAAGGCTGTACTAATTTACACTCCTACCAACAGGGTATTAGGGTTCTCCTTTCTCTACCACTTTGGCAGGATTTCCTTTGCCTGTCTTGCAGCTAAAAGCCATTTTATTTTATTTCATTTTATTTTGAGATGGAGTTTCGCTCTTGTCACCCAGGCTGGAGTGCAGTGGTGCGATCTCGGCTCACCACAACCTCCACCTCCCAGGTTCAAGCGATTCTCCTGCCTCAGCCTCCCGAGTAGCTGGAATTACAGGCACACGCCACCACGCCCAACTAAATTTTGTATTTTTAGTAGAGACAGTGTTTCTCCATGTGGGTCAGACTGGTCTCAAACTCCCGACCTTATGAGATTCACCCACCTCAGGCTCTCAAAGGTCTAGGATGACAGACGTGAGCCACCACGCCCGGCCTAAAAGCCATTTTAATGGGGTGAGATGAAAACTCACTTTGATTTTAATTTGTGTTTCTCTGATGATGAGTGAAACTGAGCACTTTTTAGTATGTGGGGAAATTTCATGTGTTTTGCTCCTGTTTCAATTAAATCATTTGTTTTATTGAGTTGTTTGAGCTTCTTATATTTCTAGTTATTAATCCCATCTCAGATGCATAGTTTGCACATATTTGCTCCCAATCTGTGGGTTGTCTCTTCACTTTGTTGGTTTATTTTTAGCGGTGCAGAAGTTGCTTAGTTTGAGGTAATCCCAATGGTCTATTTTTGCTTCGATTACTTGTGTTTTGAAGGTTTAAAACAAAATGTCTTCCTTCAGACAAATGTCCTGGAGCATTTCCCCAATATTTTCTTCTACGTGTTTCATAGGTTCAGGCCTTAGACTCACATCTTTAATCCATTTTCATTTGAGTTTTGTGTATAGTGACAGGTAGAGGTGCAGTTTCATTCCTCTGCATGTAGATGTCCAGGTTTCCCTGCACTGTTTATTGAAAAGACTGTCCTTTCCTGATTGTGAGTTCTTGGCACCTTTGTCAAAGTCCATTGGATGGGCTGGGCATGGTGGCTGACACCTGCAATTTCAGCACTTTGGGAGCCCAAGGCGGGTGGATCACCTGAGGCCAGGAGTTCAAGATTAGTCTGGCCGACGTGATGAAACATTGTCTCCACTAAAAATATAAAAATTAGCTGAGCATGGTGGTCAGCACCTGTAATACCACTACTCAGGAGTTTGAGGCCAGAGAATTGATTGAACCCAGGAGGCTGTGGTGGCAGTGAACCGAGATTGCACCTCTGCACTCCAGCCTGGGCGACAGAGCGAGACTCCATCTCAAAAGAAAAAAGAAAAAAACATTGGAGGTAAATGCATGGATTATATCTGTGTTCTTCATTCTGCTCCATTGTTCTACGTGCCTTTCTTTATGCCAATGTGATGCTGTTTTGCTTACTACAGCTCTGTAACATATTTTGAGATCAGGTAGTGTGATGCTCCTGTTTTCTCTTTATACCTTGAAGTCTCAAGACAGTAGCCGTCACATACAAAAATTACGGAAAAAAGGATCCCAGGACTCCCAGGGCCCAATATTAGATAACAGAGTGTTGGCCATGAACCAACCTCAAAGATTTCCATTGAGTAGAGGACAGACACCCTCATTTCCTCACCTCTCTCCTGTCTCATGTTCTAGGAAACCCTTCAAATAGTTGGCCTTCACCCACTGAACCAAGCTCCGAAACCGGTGAGTACAGAACCCTCTTATATCCGCTTTTGGAAACCTGGGGAGGTAGAAACCTTCGATGCAGGCATTGACTCAGCATCTCGCAGCTCTGACATTGTACGCCTGTCTTCTACCATCTCCGAACTCCAGATACTCCAACAGCGAAAGGGATCTGGGCCCAACCTAGGGCTCAGTGAAATCTCTTAATCTCTCATTTTATGGAGCTGAGACCTCCTACAAGCTAGAAGAATGATTGCCAATCTGACATCCTTCTCAGGAAAAATGCAATGTTTGTTCTGCCTGCATTCCTAACTGGAGGATAAATTCCTGGGGGCTTGAGAGAGGGAAGGGAAGGGAACATCTGATGAGGGCGAGGTGTTTTAGAGAAGTTCCACTTGCCAAGGAATGAATTACTGTTGGTCATGAAGCAACCCTGGCTGACTCAGCAGAGCAACAGCCTTGCCGTAACAGAGAACGGAGCTCATGCACGCACACTTCGACTCACTGACTCATTCAGCCACGGCCCCATGCTCAGGCTGTGCAGTGCGGAACCTTTTCCTATTGTTGCCATAACAAATTTCCACAAGATTCGTGGGTGAAAACAAAACGGTTTTTTAATTATCTTACAGTGCTGTAGCTCAAAGTAGGAAGTGCATCTTACTGGGCTAAAATCAAGGTGACAGCAAGGCTGCCTTCCCTCTGAGGATTCCAGGCAAGAATCTGCTTCTCACTTATCCCAGCTTCTAAAGGCTCCCAGTTCCTTGGCTCCTGTTCCCCTTCCTCCTTCCTCAAAACCCACAAAGACTGGTCACATCTCACATGGCATCACTCAGTGCCTTCTTCCTTACCACACCTCTTTCTCTGAATGCTGCTCTCCCTTCTTCCTTATCTTTTGAAAACTTGGGGATTCTATTGGGTTCACCAAGATGAAAATCCCTCATAATCTCCTGGAAATCATCCAGGATACCCTTGTTTTAAGTTCAGCTGATTAGCAACCGCAATTCCATCTACAATCTTCATTCCTCCTTTCCATGTAAAATAACATATTCACAAGCTATGGAGGCTAGGACAGGGACATTTTGGGGTGGGACAGCATTCTCCTGCCTTCCACAAACGGTGAACAAGATGCATTTGGCCTCTGCCCTTGGGACACTGATATTGCAGATGGTTAAATGGGAGGGCAGAAAATGAATGCACAAGTGGATCTATAAATGAATGATCCATTGGGAAGCATCTGTGCATGAAATCTATTTTTTGTTTGTTCTTTTGTTTATTGAGACAGAGTCGCCCTCTGTCTTCCAGGCTACAGTGCAGTGTCACGATCTTGGCTCACTGCAACCTGCGTCTCCTGGATTCAAGTGATTCTCCTGCCTCCGCCTCTCGAGTAGCTGGGATTACAGGCAACTGCCACCGTGCCCGGCTAATTCTTTTTGTATATTTTTTGTAGAAAGGATGTTTCACCACGTTGGCCAAGCTTGTCTGAAACTCCCAACCTCAAGTGATCCGACCGTCTCAGCATGCCAAAGTAATGGGACTACAGGCGTGAGCCACTGTGCCCAGCCAGAATTCAAAATCAATAATAGATAATGCTGAGTGTATGATTTCAGGTGACAAAGAAGGTCTCACTATTCAGATATTTGTGACATTAATGAAAAACACGGATTGAACCCCTGAAAGATTGGCGGAAGGATTTTGCACACACAGCTGTCAGCCGTGAAGGCACAAAGGTGAAAACAATCTGATGTGGAAGGAAGAGGCTCTGCCTCAAATGCTGGGAATGAGGTGGGGAGAATGACAAGACGACTGTAGGGAGACGGAGAGCACACTGGGTACACAGGAAACTAAGGAGCAACAAGGAGTGTGTGTTTGACACTCACAGCCATTGGATTCACCTCGGGGTAACCAGGAATCCCTACATGATTAATATGACGGACATGAAAATAAGGGAGGCTCAGTTGCATAACTGGAATCTAGGAGACCGTGGAAAAGGCAAGTGCCGACCCACTGGTTAAATGTGGTGCTGATTTAGACACTAAATGAATGAAGTAGATGGATATAAGATATGTTTGTGAGGTAGAATCATTGACTGGAAAGGCTTACTGGGTTTGATTTTCCTACTTGTTTAATCCTCGCTTAATTAATTTCTTTCTGAGATTTATTCATCCTACACATAAATCAATACCTGGCAAAGGAGTGACAGATATATGAGTGGTGGTGGAAATGAAGAGACTTATTATAGCATAATATACAAGTCTGTGAACAGTGGCTCACGCCTGTAACCTAGCACTGCAGGAGGCCAAGGTGGGTGGATTCCATGAAGTCAGGAGTTCCAGACCAGCCTGGCCAACGTGGTGAAACCCTATCTCTACTAAAAATACAAAAATTAGCCGAGCACGATGGTGCATCCCTGTAATCCCAGCTCCTATTCTGGAGGATGAAGCAGGAGAACGACTTCAACCCAGTAGGTGGAGGTTGCAGTGAGTGGAGATTGCATCACTGCACTCCAGCCTGGGGGACACAAGGAGACTCTATCTCAAAAAATAAAAATAAGAAATACATAAATATAATAAAACACACACGAATGACAAAGGCACCTGAATTCCAATCATCGTTTTTCTATTTCTCTATAATTACTTCTTTGATCCTTTATCTTATCCATTAGGCAATGAGCTTAAAACCTCTTCCCTATTTGGCTTTCTGTGAGAATGAGATCACATAGAAAATGTGAAAGCCCTCAGAATCCTCCAGCACA
This sequence comes from Homo sapiens, assembly GCF_000001405.40. NCBI lineage: Eukaryota > Metazoa > Chordata > Mammalia > Primates > Hominidae > Homo > Homo sapiens. The sequence goes on from NW_016107311.1 coordinate 51,707, forward strand.
GATCGTGGAATAGAGAAAGTGCTCTGTTCGTCGCAACAAAAAACTTGCCCACTCACCCAAATCCCCCACCTCACCCCTACTTCCAATCACCTGTGGAGATTCAGATAGGCTATGGGGAGGTAAACATTGATACTCCTTGGAGTGAGTCCAGATCTTGGAATCAGAGATCAGTGCCAGCACTAGCTCCTGCTCCCCTTTCCTACTAATTCACAGGAGGACAGGTGGTATTGAAGCAATAGATGGCCGAGGGGGTGGTCCTTCCCCCAGCCTCTCGGGTAGAACAGCAGCCTAATATGTGTCTCCCGAGATCACAAAGAGTAGCACGTTTCACACGGGCTTCAACACTATTTCCTGGCCATTTGACATAAGAGAATTCTACTTAGCTTTTTTTATCTTGATTTCACTTTTGTTTCCTTTTCTTGGAGAATGCAAGTTGTTTGATTCAAGAATGCTGTGGATGTAGAAATCCTAAAGCACATTCGCTGTGTATCAATCCCAGTGCAGTCTTCCCAGAGAAGACTCTAAATACCTCCTGGACTGCACCTGGGCTTATGCCAATTCCTATCACTCACCGTCACTCCAGGGAGACAGAACACACAGAGAATACATTACACAGGCAGGTTCATTACTAACAGATAAGCAGCGAGTGACAACAGAAACCTACATTTCAATGTGAGCCAGTCCCTCAAGGCTCAGAAAAGCTCCTCGGGACATATGGAGTCACCCCATTTGCAGTGTAGCTGGGGGAAGCCAGAGAGCAGCCCAGCCTGGGTTTTGTACTGTGGAGCCACAGGAAGCACTCAGCTAAAGCACTGCATGACGTCCTCCTCCAGGAAGAACAGGAAGACAGCCCAGGCTGTTCTGAGACGTTCCTCCTGATCTCAGGACGTTGCTGTCTTAGTCCATTTTTGTTGCTCTAAAGGAACACTTGAGCCTGGGTAACTTCTAGAGAAAAGAGATTGGTTTGCCTCACAGTTCTGCAGGCTATACTGGAAGCGTGGCACCAGCATCTATTTCTCGTGACGGCCTCAGGCTGCTCCCACTCTGGCAGAAGGGAAGGAGGGTCTGTCTGTGCAGAGACCACAGAGATCACACGGCAAGAGAGGGAGCAAGGGGGAGGGGGAGCGATGGAGCTTCCAAGCTCTTTTGAACAACCAGCTCTCCAGGAACTAATAGAAGGGGAACTTGCTAACCCCGTCTCCTTGGGACAGCATTGGTCTGTTCATGATGGATCCACCTCCATGACCCAAACACCTCTCAAGAGGCCCAACCTCCCACAGTGGGGGTGAAATTTCAATGTGAGGTTTGAAGGGGTCAAACATCTCAACTAAAGTAGTTGTATCCTCAACACGTTCTATGGTTACTATGAGAGCTATAACTGAGAAAGCAGGAGAAAGCTGGGTCTCCCTCCATCTGGGTGCTTGTCCTAAAGGGGTGTTGTATGTGGTTACCTGTCAATCAAGAAATGTGAGACAATTCATAAAGAGGAACTGCTATGATTAGCTTCTTATTGGTGTCTCCTCTTCTTCCAGGTAACCCCAGACACCTGCATGTTCTGATTGGGACCTCAGTGGTCATCATCCTCTTCATCCTCCTCCTCTTCTTTCTCCTTCATCGCTGGTGCTGCAACAAAAAAAGTAAGTCTCACGAAGCAGAGGCCAGAGAGCTCAGGGCCATGTGGGGAAGCAGGATGGGAGCACTCAGGTGTGTGTTCCTCACAGACAGGATGGTCCCTGGCCCAAGGCAGCAGCCACAGAGGGAGGACTTTCTAGAGAGAGCACCAGACTCCCTGTCCCTGCCTTCAGCTCACAGACCATTGCCTGATTCTGAACTGTATCCTCATGTCCCCTGCAGCCACTCACATCCAGGAGAAGGTTCCATGACAGGCAGAAAGTGGGAGACAGAATCAATGGGATGGGAACTCAGAGCTATTCATGGGATGGGTCCTTGAGCTCAGAGAGATAGAATGTCTGAGTCTGCTGTTGGCAACTGAGGGACCTCAGGCTCCTATGGTCTCCCCCTGTATGTTGGTATCTGCTTATGAAATGAGGACCCAGAAGTGCCCTCTGAGCTGTTTTGTTGACTTCCGTCTTCTACAGATGCTGTTGTAATGGACCAAGAGCCTGCAGGGAACAGAACAGTGAACAGGGAGGTAGGTGCTCCTCGGCCCAGCCTCGTGGCTAGTGTTATTCCCAAAGAGTCCTGGAAAATGTGAGCACCCTCCCTCACTCAGGATTTCCCTCTCTCCAGGACTCTGATGAACAAGACCCTCAGGAGGTGACATATGCACAGTTGAATCACTGCGTTTTCACACAGAGAAAAATCACTCACCCTTCTCAGAGGCCCAAGACACCCCCAACAGATATCATCGTGTACACGGAACTTCCAAATGCTGAGCCCTGATCCAAAGTTGTCTCCTGCCCATGAGCACCACAGTCAGGCCTTGAGGGGATCTTCTAGGGAGACAACAGCCCTGTCTCAAAACTGGGTTGCCAGCTCCAATGTACCAGCAGCTGGAATCTGAAGGCGTGAGTCTGCATCTTAGGGCATCGCTCTTCCTCACACCACAAATCTGAACGTGCCTCTCTCTTGCTTACAAATGTCTAAGGTCCCCACTGCCTGCTGGAGAGAAAACACACTCCTTTGCTTAGCCCACAATTCTCCATTTCACTTGACCCCTGCCCACCTCTCCAACCTAACTGGCTTACTTCCTAGTCTACTTGAGGCTGCAATCACACTGAGGAACTCACAATTCCAAACATACAAGAGGCTCCCTCTTAACACGGCACTTAGACACGTGCTGTTCCACCTTCCCTCATGCTGTTCCACCTCCCCTCAGACTAGCTTTCAGCCTTCTGTCAGCAGTAAAACTTATATATTTTTTAAAATAATTTCAATGTAGTTTTCCCTCCTTCAAATAAACATGTCTGCCCTCATGGTTTAGGTAATGGGACTCTTTTCTTGCCTAAGGCTTCCGGTGTTATCAGTACCATGTCCATATAATCCCATCTGTTCTCCACCGGGTTCTCACCTCTGGACTCTGAGCTTCTGGAAGCAGTGTGGAGCCTCATTTGTCTCTGGGACTCCAATTTCCATCCAAATATGCAGCACATAGGAGGTTCCAAGGATCGGGAATCACATGAACAAGTGACATTGTTACTCTCTGCAGACCTGGAAAGCTGGCAGAGTCATTCCACAATGAAACATTTGTAGAGTCATAGGCCTTGTTAGTCTCATCTCCATGGGGACACATATCAACACATCATCTTTCATACTATAAATATACGGTCACTCCTCCGTATCTGTGGGGTTTACAGGTCTTTATTGAACAAAGTATAAATCAAAAATATTCAGAGAAAATATCCACAGAGTTCCAAAACTCATAACTATGTTGAATGGACACAAATGAAGCTGTGTGTAGGCTGTATCAGGAATTATAAGTAATCAAGAGATGATTTCATGTATACAGGAGGATGTGCATATGTTATTTGCAAGCGCTGTGCCATTTCATATAAGAGGCTTGAGCATCTACAGATTTTGGTATCTGAGTGGAGATCTCGAAACCAATCACCCACGAATAGTGAAGGATGACCGTATATGACTTTTATTTCTCAAATTTAAATATAAATCAAAAAATGTACAACTAGATAAAAACTAAGAAGTGTTTTTATAGTGTGAGTTAGATTTATTTTTTACTAGGTGTAACCCATTGGTTTAATATTATTTATTGAGAAGACATTCTATGCCACCTTAAACCACACGGCAGCCTTTGTCAACTCTAAAGGGACTGTGTGTACATGGATGTATTTTAGACAGTTTCTGCTAAGGGGCTGTCTGTGTCCACACTCTTGATGATGCTACACTTTATGTAGCCTTATAGAACCCTTTAAATTTAGTAGCCAGAGCCCTCTAATTTGTTATTATAGGCTATTTGCTTTTTTTTTTCTTGAGGCGGAGTCTTGCTCTGTCGCCCAGGCTGGACTGCAGTGACACAATCTCAGCTCACTGCAACCTCCGCCTCCCAGGTTCAAGCGATTCTCGTGCCTCAGCCTCTTGAGTAGCTGGCGTTACAGGTGCCTGCCACCAGGCATGGCTAATTTTTGGATTTTTAGCAGAGACACGGTTTCACTATGTTGGCCAGGCTGCTCTCAATCCCCTCATCTCAGTTGATCCGCCCACCTCGGCTTCCCGACGTGCTGGGGAAACTTGATTTTCTATAGCATTATGTTACTGGATATTTCTGTAAAATTTAAAATGAGGGAGGCAGAGAGACAGAGAGAGATCAAACTCCAGAGTTGGGACTCTGGAATCTTGGGTCATGAGACAAATTTTAGATTAAACTACAAAACTCCAGAATTTACAGGTGTGGTTTTTGCTGATAAAGTACAATTCTAAGATTGTAAATAATTGCATAATCCTTCCCTGGGAATTTAAATCATTTTAACTGGTTCTGCTGTAATACTAGAAATACAAGCATGAAAAATTCTAATGGTTTATTAGTCACAATGACTCTGAAAACCTTAATAATACCTATTAGATATTTTGCATATTACACATGAAGAAGAGTTTGAATCTCAGATAAAAACAATAAAAATACATGAAAAGTCTTTCACGTTAGCACAGATTTTAGGCATCTCGTGTTCAGGAGGTTGGATCTGAGACGTGTTTTGAGTTGGTCATAGTGAAGGACGCTAGGTGTAAATTCTAGTGAGAACAATTTCCAGGAAGCCGTGTTCCGCTCTTGAGCGAGCACCCACTGGGCCTCATGCAAGGTAGAATGAGCCTGCGTACGTCACCCTCCCATGATGTGGTCAACATGTAAACTGCATGGGCAGGGCGCCAAATAACATCCTGTGCGCTGCTGAGCTGAGCTGGGGCGCGGCCGCCTGTCTGCACCGGCAGCACCATGTCGCTCACGGTCGTCAGCGTGGCGTGTGTTGGTGAGTCCTGGAAGGGAATAGAGGAAGGGAGTGTGGGGTTGGAGATCTGGGCCCAGAGGTGGAGATATAGGCCTGGAGGTGGAGTTGTGGGCCTGGAGTGGAGATCTGGGCCTGGAGTGGATATATGGGCCTAGAGATGGAGTGATGGGCCTAGAAGTGGAGATCTGGGCCTGGAGTGCCGATAGGAACCTGGAGGGGAGATAGGAGCCTGGAGTGGAGACATGGGCCTGGAGGTGGAGTTATAGGCCTATAGTAGAGATATGGGCCTGGAGTGGAGATTTGGGCCAGGAGTGGAGATATGGGCCTAGAGGTGGATATCTGGGCCTAGAGTGGAAATATGGGCCTAGGATGGAGATATGGGCCTGGTTGTGGAGATATGGGACTGGAGAGGAGATATGGGCCTAGAGTGGAGATATGGGCTTGGGGTGGAGATCTGGGCCTGGGGTGGAGATATGGGCCTGGAGGTGGAGTTACGGGCCTTCAGTAGAGATATGGGCCTGGGGTGGAGATATGGGCTTGGGGTGGAGATCTGGGCCTGGAGTGGAGATATGGGCCTGGAGGTGGAGTTACTGGCCTTCAGTAGAGATATGGGCCTGGTGTGGAGATATGGGCCTGGATTGGAGATATGGGCCTAGGGTGGAGATCTGAGCCTGGAGTGGAGATATGGGCCTGGATTGGAGATATGGGCTTACAGTGGAGATCTTGGCCTGGATTGGCGATATGGGCCTGGATTGGCGATATGGGCCTATGATGGAAATATCGGCCTGGAGTGGAGATATGGGCCTGGAGTGGAGATACAGGCCTAGGGTGGAAATATTGGCCTGGAGTGGAGATATGGGCTTGTGGTGGGGATATGGGCTTGTGGTGGGGATCTGGGCTTGGAGGCTGGGTCTCTGCACAACCGACAGCCCTGTTCTTGGGTGCAGGTAGGCACTGAGGGTGAGTTTAACTTCAGTCCAGGAAGGGCCTGCCTACCAAGACTCACAGCCCAGTGAGGGCAGCAAGGGAGTCCTGGTTTGCCTGCAGATGGATGGTCCATCATGATCTTTCTTTCCAGGGTTCTTCTTGCTGCAGGGGGCCTGGCCACATGAGGGTGAGTCCTTCTCCAAACCTTCGGGTGTCATCTCCCCACATAAGAGGATTTTCCTGAAACAGGAGGGAAGTCCTGTCAGGGAGCCTCTCATAAACTAGGAAGAGGGGACCCTGGGGTGCTCGGCCCACAGTTCCGACCTCGCCTCCCTGGCCTTTCATTCCCTTGGCAGAGTCAAGTTCTGTGGGGACCAGGGTTAGACTGGGGTGCTCAAAGCTGGGGTGCGTGGTGGGGAAGTGGTAGGAACAGCAGATCCTCTGAGGACAAAGGTGTTACTCACACTTCAGCGTTTCCATGACGGTAGGGGCTGCAGTGTGGCTGCTGTCACTCCACCAGAAGAGGTGGGAAACCACAGCCATGGCCCTGACATTCCAAATCCTCTGATGGGGGCTCAGTTGCTTATTTTCATTCAGGCATCTGCTGATATTCCATTCTCAAAGACATGCCCTCCACCCCATGTCTACCCTGTGTTGTTTTATGTGAGTAATCTTACAGTATTAAAATCTAGTAGGAGTCTCTTACTCAGCACTTGCTCAAAGTTCTCAGCTGACACTTTTGTTGTAGGGAGACACCTTGTGTTTGCGGGATGGGTCCTTCCTTTAGCCCTGGGCACCAAGGTGTGATAGCAGCCATAGAAACTTGGAAAGCGAGGAGAATCTTCAGAGCACAGGGAGGGAGGGGTGGCTCCACATCCTCCTCTCTAAGGCGGTGCCTCCTTCTCCCCAAGGTGGTCAGGACAAGCCCTTGCTGTCTGCCTGGCCCAGCTCTGTGGTGCCTCCAGGACATGTGATTCTTCGGTGTCATTCTTATCTTGGGTTTAACAACTTCAGTCTGTAAAAGGAAGATGGGGTGCCTGGCACTGAGCTCTACAACAGAATATTCTGGAAGAGCCTTTTCATGGGCCCTGTGACCCCAGCACACACAGGGACGTACAGATGTCGGGGTTCACACCCACACTACCCCAGTGGGTGGTCGGCACCCAGCAACCCCCTGGTGATCATGGCCACAGGTCAGAGGGCTCCTGTCTTGGATTCTCCTTTCCCACCTCCTGAATCCCAGAGCTTCTGGTGGGCGTGTCCTTGAGGGTCCCATCACCCAGGCCCTGACTATATTTGGGGTAAAGGGGGATTGAATACAGGGAAATGGGTGCTGTGGTGGGAAGAATAATTGTCCCCAGTGATGACTACATTCTAATCCCTGGAGTCTGTGACTATTTATGTTATAGGGGAAGGAACTGAAGGGGAAGATGGAGCTCAGGTTGTTGATGAGTTGACCTTGAGATGGGGAGACAGCCTGGACTGTCCCGCTGGGCTCAGTGTAATCACAAGGGTCCACATGAAAGGAGGAGGAAGAGGGGAGTGGGGATTAGAGCAGCGCAATGGGAGACTCCACCAGCTTTGAAGGTGGAGGAAGGCCAGGAGCCATGAATGCAGGTGGCCTGTAGAGGTTGGAAAAGTCAAGGAAATGATTCTCCAGAGTCTCCAGAGGGAACGAAGCCCTGCAGATGCCTTGATTTTAGCCCAGGAAAAACAGGGTCCTATTTCTGTCTCCAGTAGTGAAATGGGTCAGTGTGCTCTCTCCTGCTGCCATGCTTCTGATAATTTTCTACAGCAGCAACAGGAAACCAACACTGGAACCCAGGTCAAGGACAAGGTAAGAAACAACACAAGGATAGCCGGGTGTGGTGGCAGGCGCATGTAATCCTAGCGACTTGGGAGGCTGAGGGCAGGAGAATCACTTGAACCCAGGAGACAGAGGTTGCAGTGACCCTAGACCACACCACTTCACTCCAGCTGGGGTGAAGGAGTGAGACTCTGTCTCCATAATTAATTAATTAATTAAAGGAACCAAACAAGGGGAAGGTTGGCTACACCGAGATGAGCAAGTGTGGGATGATGATGCCACCACCAGGCTCCATCCACATAGGGAGGGGTTGATACTCCTCAAACCAGCACCAGGAGCCAGCCTATGGAAGCTGGCACCATGGAGAAGGCACAGGCATGGCAAGAGTGGCTCCCAGTCCCGACCAGGAACAGGGTGTGTGGACACTGGTGCCTGCCTTATTCATCAGTTCATACCTACTGCCAAGGATTCCAATTCATCCAAAAGAGATTGAACCAGGCTGATAAGAGGCTGGATGTGCAGCCTATCCTGGTTCCTCTTTCACCCCCACATAAACAGCAGGAAAGACATTAGTGTGAAATAGATACAACACCCCAAGAGATGAGGCTAAGCCCAGTGGGAAGGGAATCAGAGGCGACTAGAGACAGAGGGACAGAGAAGAGTGAGGGAGACAGATGGAAGGACCTGCACCAGGAGTTATGGGCACAGAAAAGAACATGAAGACACAGAGAGGAAGGAGAGAGACAGACACCAGCAAGGGGAAGCCTCACTCATTCTAGGTGCCATGGATGGGATGATAAAGAGAGACACCTTCTAAACTCACAACCTCTCTTCCTAGGAGTCCACAGAAAACCTTCCCTCCTGGCCCACCCAGGTCCCCTGGTGAAATCAGAAGAGACAGTCATCCTGCAATGTTGGTCAGATGTCAGGTTTGAGCACTTCCTTCTGCACAGAGAAGGGAAGTTTAACGACACTTTGCACCTCACTGGAGAGCACCATGATGGGGTTTCCAAGGCCAACTTCTCCATCGGTCCCATGATGGAAGACCTGGCAGGGACCTACAGATGCTACGGTTCTGTTACTCACTCCCCCATCAGTTGTCAGCTCCCAGTGACCCTCTGGACATCGTCATCACAGGTGAGAGTGTCCGGACATTCTTCTCATTGTCATTGGGATGCAGAGTGAATGATCCACGACTTGGAACCCCCAGGTAGTTGTAAGGAAGATGAGCTTGGTATTCTTATGGAGAGAGACTGACTTGGTGAGGTCTGTACCAACAGAGACAGAGAAACAGGAGACACAAGTACAGACCAGGTGTCATAACAGAGGACAGACACAGGGGCCATACCGGGAGTTAGAAAAGACAGAAGGAGTTAAAGGAGACAGACAGACAGACATGTCCCAGAGAGAGGTGTCCCTCCATGCTGACTTTGCTCAGAGACCTGGCACAGGTTAGAAGTTTCATTTCTGTTTTACCTCCACAAAGTGTTCTCTACCAGGAGAACCCAAGGACACCCATATTTCTGACCTGAGTTGGGCCCTGTGGCCTCAGGCCTTGTGGCACCTACAGATGCCGTGTTTATTCTGACACCTCTGCCTTCCATGTAATGGAGAGTAACCGTCCCAGGATATCATGGCCCCAGAACACCAACTCCTGTATGCTGTGTGAACTTGTGGTCTCCAGACTGGATTCTGAGGCTCACATTCCAAATAACCCCACATATGAAAGGATCACTGAGAGGCACAGAGAGAAATCAGGGACACCAAAAAGCAAAGACATAAACACACAGAGAATGAGCCAGAGGAAGGAGATTGAGAGACTCACAGACACATAAAGAGAGAGAAAAGAGGGCAGAGGAGTGGTGAGAATGATGGAAGGGAGCAGAGAAAAGCACTAAAATTAGACTCCTGAGGGAGAGGCACAAGGACATAGAAAGATGGAGATGTGGGGATGAATTGCAGAGATTCCAAAGAGAACTAGAGAGACCGAGAGGCAGAGCAAGACAGATGATAGAAGGTTAGATATAGATAGATGATAAATAGGTAGATGATAGATAATAGGTTAAAGATACATAGATGATGATTGATTGATTCATTAATAGATGAGACATAGAGATGATGATGATGAAGACAGATAGATAATACATAGAGATAGAGAGGCAGACAGAAGTCATAGAGAGAGAGATGATACATAGATATAGATAACAGATGATTGATGGATAGATAGACAAGTGATAGATACATAGATGATATATAGATATAGATGACAGGTAGAGAATTTGTAGATAGGCACCGAATAGATAAATAGATAGATCGACAGATAATAGATAGAAATATGCAGAAAGTTATGAACAGGACACAAAGTGAGAAACTTAGAATTTAAAAAAGTAACATCAAGTCAACCAATCCAAGGAGAGTCAGAGAGAATAAAACAATCCAAAAAGGGAAAACATATCTAGAGGTGTGGAAGCGAGGTCAGAGACCTAGAGAGACAGAGAAGGTGGAAGGAGGAAATAGACATGAAGAGAGATGGGGTGGAGGGTGAGAGAGAGAGAGAGAGAGCATTAGGTCATAGAGCAGGGGAGTGAGTTCTCAGCTCAGGTGAAGGGAGCTGTGACAAGGAAGATCCTCCGTAAGGAAAATGCCTCTTCTCCTTCCAGGTCTATATGAGAAACCTTCTCTCTCAGCCCAGCCGGGCCCCACGGTTCTGGCAGGAGAGAGCGTGACCTTGTCCTGCAGCTCCCGGAGCTCCTATGACATGTACCATCTATCCAGGGAGGGGGAGGCCCATGAACGTAGGTTCTCTGCAGGGCCCAAGGTCAACGGAACATTCCAGGCTGACTTTCCTCTGGGCCCTGCCACCCACGGAGGAACCTACAGATGCTTCGGCTCTTTCCGTGACTCTCCCTACGAGTGGTCAAACTCGAGTGACCCACTGCTTGTTTCTGTCACAGGTGAGGAAAGCCCATGGCTGTCCCATGTCCTATGATCCTAGAGCCTTAGCTGAGGAGCTTCCTGCTGAGGATGGAGAGAAGGATGAACAGATGAAGAGAGAAGACGAAGCTTGGGTGTGAGGGAGGGATCAGGGCACAGGATGGCAGACAGGGCACCTCCAAACCCTCCTACATGGCCTGCATGAAGGCCTGCGGCCAGGACTCCAGGCACCCAGGCAGATGGAGAAAGCGGTCAGGAGAGACCCAGAGGAGGGAGACTGGGCTCAGTTTGGGAAGATCAGAGGTTCCCTCAGCCCCTCAACATTACCCATTTCCCAGAAGCCCATCCTGGCCTCCCACCCACACAGGGATGTCATCACCTGCAACCCCTACACCCTTTACTTTTGTTTGAGAAATATTTATTGAGGATAAATATACCTATATAGCTTACCACCTTTAACATTTTTTTTTTGAGGCGGAGTCTAGCTCTGTCCCCTATGCTGGAGTGCATTGGCACAATCTCAGCTCACTGCAACTTCCGCCTCCTGGGTTCAAGCGATTCTCTTGCCTCAGCCACCTGAGTAGCTGGTGCTACAGGCGCGCACCACCATGCCAGGCTACTTTTTGTATTTTTAGTAGAGAGGGGGTTTCACCATGTTGGTCAAGCTGGTCTCGAACTCCTGACCACGTGATCCACCCGCATCAGCCTCCCAAAGTGCTGGGATTACAGGCATGAGCCACCACGCCCAGCCACATTTACCATTTTTAAGTGTAAAGTCTAGTGGTCATAAATACATTAATATATATATATATACACATATTTTTTTTTACCCTCCACCCTTTTCTTCCTGGCCTCTGGTAGCCACCATTCTACTCTCTACCTTCATGAGATCCACCTTTTAGCTCCTGTATATGGGTAAGAAATGGGAATCTTTGTAATGACCTCCAGTTCCATCCATGTGGCTGCAAATATCAGGATGTTTTTCTTTCTATGGAAGAGTAGTCTCCACTATGCAAATGTACCACATTCTCTCTATCCATTCACCCACTGATGGGCAGGTAGGTTGACTCCTCATCTTGGCTACTGTGAAGAGTGCTGCACCAATCATACGAGTGCAGATATCACTTCGATATATTGATTTACTTTCCTTTGGATATAAACCCAGTAGTGAAATTGCTGGATACTATGAAAGTTCTCTTTTTAGTTTTTCGTTTGTTGTTTTGTTTTTGTTTTTGAGACAGTTTCCCTCTGTGCCCAGGCTGGAGTACAAGTGATGTCATCTTGGCTCATTGCAACCTCTGCCTCCTGGGTTCAAATGATTTTCCTGCCTCAGCCTCCCTAGTATCAGGGATTATAGGCGCACGCCACCATGCCTGGCTACTTTTTGTTTTTTTTAGTATAGATGCGGTTTCCCCATGTTGGCTGGGCTGCTCTCAAACTCATGACCTCAACTGAGGTGCCCGCCTCGGTCTCCCAAAGTGCCGGGATTACAGGCATGATCCACCTCACCCAACCTCTTTTTAGTTCTTTAAAGGACTTCCACACTTTTCTCCGTAATGGCTGTACTAATTTACACTCCTCCCAACAGGATACCAGGATTCTCCTTTCTCTAACACCTTGCCAGCATTTCTTTTGCCTGTCTTGCAGCTAAAAGCCATTTTATTTTATTTCATTTTATTTTGAGATGGAGTTTCGCTCTTGTCACCCAGGCTGAGTGCAGTGGTGCGATCTCGGCTCACCACAACCTCCACCTCCCAGGTTCAAGCGATTCTCCTGCCTCAGCCTCCCGAGTAGCTGGAATTACAGGCACACGCCACCACGCCCGACTAATTTTTGTATTTTTAGTAGAGACAGTGTTTCTCCATGTGGGTCAGACTGGTCTCAAACTCCCGACCTTATGAGATTCACCCACCTCAGGCTCTCAAAGGTCTAGGATGACAGACGTGAGCCACCACGCCCGGCCTAAAAGCCATTTTAATGGGGTGAGATGAAAACTCACTTTGATTTTAATTTGCGTTTCTCTGATGATGAGTGATACTGAGCACTTTTTCGTATGTGGGGAAATTTCATGTCTTTTGCTCCTGTTTCAATTAAATCATTTGTTTTATTGAGTTGTTTGAGCTTCTTATATTTCTAGTTATTAATCCCATCTCAGATGCATAGTTTGCACATATTTGCTCCCAATCTGTGGGTTGTCTCTTCACTTTGTTGGTTTATTTTTAGCGGTGCAGAAGTTGCTTAGTTTGAGGTAATCCCAATGGTCTATTTTTGCTTCGATTACTTGTGTTTTGAAGGTTTAAAACAAAATGTCTTCCTTCAGACAAACGTCCTGGAGCATTTCCCCAATATTTTCTTCTACGTGTTTCATAGGTTCAGGCCTTAGACTCACATCTTTAATCCATTTTCATTTGATTTTTGTGTATAGTGACAGGCAGAGGTGCAGTTTCATTCCTCTGCATGTAGATGTCCAGGTTTCCCTGCACTGTTTATTGAAAAGACTGTCCTTTCCTGATTGTGAGTTCTTGGCACCTTTGTCAAAGTCCATTGGATGGGCTGGGCATGGTGGCTAACACCAGCAACTTCAGCACTTTGGGAGGCCAAGGCTGGTGGATCACCTGAGGACAGGAGTACAAGATTACTCTGGCCGACGTGATGAAACATCGTCTCCACTAAAAATATAAAAATTAGCTGAGCATGGTGGTCAACACCTATAATACCACTACTCAGGAGTTTGAGGCCAGAGAAGTGATTGAACCCAGGAGGCTGTGGTGGCAGTGAACCGAGATTGCACCTCTGCACTCCAGCCTGGGTGACAGAGCAAGACTCCATCTCAAAAGAAAAACAAAAAATACATTGGAGGTAAATGCATGGATTATATCTGTGTTATTCATTCTGCTCCGTTGTTCTATGTGCCTTTCTTCATGCCAACGTCATGCTGTCTTGCTTACTACAGCTCTGTAACATATTTTGAGATCAGGTAGTGTGATGCTCCTGTTTTCTCTTTATACCTTGAAGTCTCAAGACAGTAGCCGTCACATACAAAAATTACGGAAAAAAGGATCCCAGGACTACCAGGGCCCAATATTAGATAACAGAGTGTTGGCCATGAACCAACCTCAAAGATTTCCACTGAGTAGAGGACAGACACCCTCATTTCCTCACCTCTCTCCTGTCTCGTGTTCTAGGAAACCCTTCAAATAGTTGGCCTTCACCCACTGAACCAAGCTCCAAAACCGGTGAGTACAGAACCCTCTTATATCCGCTTTTGGAAACCTGGGGAGGTGGAAACCTTGGATTCAGGCGTTGACTCAGCATCTCACAGCTCTGACATTGTACGCCTGTCTTCTACCATCTCCGAACTCCAGATACTCCAACAGCGAAAGGGATCTGGACCCAAAACAGGGCTCAGTGAAATCTCTTAATCTCTCATTTTATGGAGCTGAGATCTCCTACAAGCTAGAAAAATGATTGGCAATCTGACATCCTTCTCAGGAAAAATGCAATGTTTGTTCTGCCTGCATTCCTAACTGGAGGATAAATTCCTGGGGGCTTGAGAGAGGGAAGGGTAGGGAACATTTGATGAGGGCGAGGTGTTTTAGAGAAGTTCCACTTGCCCAGGAATGAATTACTGTTGGTCATGAAGCAACCCTGGCTGACTCAGCAGAGCAAGAGCTTTGCCTTAACAGAGAACGGAGCTCATGCACGCACACTTCGACTCACTGACTCATTCAGCCACGGCCCCATGCTCAGGCCGTGGAAAAGGCAATTCCCAGCACTGCAGGAGGCCAAGGCGGGTGGATCACTTGAAGTCAGGAGTTCCAGACCAGCCTGGCCAAAATGGTGAAACCCTGTCTCTATGAAAAATACAAAAATTAGCCGAGCATGGTGGTGCATCCCTGTAATCCCAGCTCCTACTCTTGAGGATGAAGCAGGAGAATGACTTCAACCCAGGAGGTGGAGGTTGCAGTGAGTGGAGATTGCATCACTGCACTCCAGCCTGGGTGACACAAGGAGACTCCGTCTCAAAAAATAAAAATAAGAAATGCATAAATATAATAAAACACACACGAATGACAAAGGCACCTGAATTCCAATCATCATTTTTGTATTTCTCTATAATTACTTCTTTGATCCTTTGTCTTATCCATTAGGCAATGAGCCTAAAACCTCTTCCGTATTTGGCTTTCTGTGAGCATGAGACCATATAGAAAATGTGAAAGCCCACTGAATCCTCCAGCACAGATCGTGGAATAGAGAAAGTGCTCTGTTCATCACAAAAAAAACTTGCCCTCTCACTCAAATCCCCCACTTCACCCCTACTTCCAATCACCTGTGGAGATTCAGATAGACCATGGGGAGGTAAACATTAATACTCCTTGGAGTGAGTCCAGATCTTGGAATGAGAGATCAGCACCAGCACTAGCTCCTGCTCCCCTTTCCTACTAATTCACAGGAGGACAGGTGGTATTGAAGCAATAGATGGTGGAGGGGGTGGTCCTTCCCCCAGCCTCTCAGGTAGAACAGCAGCCTAACATGTGTCTCCCGAGATCACAAAGAGTAGGACGTTTCACAGGGGCTTCAACACGATTTCCTGGCTGTTGGACATAAGATAACTCTATTTCGCTTTTTTATCTTGATTTCACTTTTGTTTCCTTTCCTTGGAGAACGCAAGTTGTTTGACTCAAGAATGCTGTGGATGTAGAAATCCTAAAGCACATTCGCTGTGTGTCAATCCCAGTGCAGTCTTCCCAGAAAAGACCCTAAACACCTCCTAGACTGCACCTGGGCCTACGCCAATTCCTATCACTCACCGTCACTCCAGGGAGACAGAACACACAGAGAATACGTTACATAGGCAGGTTCATTACTAACAGATAAGCAGCGAGTGAAAACAGAAGCCTACATTTCAATGTGAGCCAGTCCCTCAAGGCTCAGAAAAGCTGCTCGGGACATATGGAGTCACCCCATTTGCAGTGTAACTGGGGGAAGCCAGAAAGCAGCCCAGCCTGGGTTTTGTACCCTGGAGCCACAGGAAGCACTCAGCTAAAGCACTGCATGACGTCCTCCTCCAGGAAGAACAGGAAGACAGCCCAGGCTGCTCTGGGACGTTCCTCCTGATCTCAGGACGTTGCTGTCTTAGTCCATTTTTGTTGCTCTAAAGGAACACTTGAGCCTGGGCAACTTCTAAAGAAAAGAGATTGGTTTCTCTCACCGTTCTGCAGGCTGTACTGGAAGCATGGCACCAGCATCTATTTCTCGTGATGGCCTCAGGCTGCTCCCACTCTGGCAGAAGGGAAGGAGGGTCTGTCTGTGCAGAGACCACAGAGATCACACGGCAAGAGAGGGAGCAAGAGCTCCCCCTTGGGAGGGGGAGCGATGGAGCTTCCAAGTTCTTTTGAACAACCAGCTCTCCAGGAACTAATAGAGGGGGAACTTGCTAACCCCGTCTCCTTGGGACAGCATTGATCTGTTCATGATGGATCCACCTCCATGACCCAAACACCTCTCAAGAGGCCCAACCTCCCACAATGGGGGTGAAATTTCAATGTGAGGTTTGAAGGGGTCAAACATCTCAACTAAAGTAGTTGTATCCTCAGCACATTCTATGGTTACTTTGAGAGCTATAACTGAGAAAGCAGGAGAAAGCTGGGTCTCCCGCCATCTGGGTGCTTGTCCTAAAGAGGTGTTTTACGTGGTTACCTGTCAATCAAGAAATGCGAGACAATTCATAAAAAGGAACTGCTATGATTAGCTTCTTATTGGTGTCTCATCTTCTTCCAGGTAACCCAAGACACCTGCACGTTCTGATTGGGACCTCAGTGGTCATCATCCTCTTCATCCTCCTCTTCTTCTTTCTCCTTCATCGCTGGTGCTCCAACAAGAAAAGTAAGTCTCACGAAGGAGAGGCCAGAGAGCTCCGGGCCATGTGGGGAAGCAGGATGGGAGCACTCAGGTGTGTGTTCCTCACAGGTAGGATGGTCCCTGGCCCAAGGCAGCAGCCACAGAGGCAGGACTTTCTAGAGAGGGCACCAGACTCCCTGTCCCTGCCTTCAGCTCACAGACCGTTGCCTGATTCTGAACTGTATCCTCATGTCCCCTGCAGCCACTCACATCCAGGAGAAGGTTCCATGACAGGCAGAAAGTGGGAGACAGAATCAATGGGATGGGAACTCAGAGCTATTCATGGGATGGGTCCTTGAGCTCAGAGAGATAGAATGTCTGAGTCTGCTGTTGGCAACTGAGGGACCTCAGGCTCCTATGGCCTCCCCCTGTTTGTTGGTATCTGCTTATGAAATGAGGACCCAGAAGTGCCCTCCGAGCTCTTTTGTTGACTTCCGTCTCCTACACATGCTGCTGTAATGGACCAAGAGCCTGCAGGGAACAGAACAGCGAATAGCGAGGTAGGTGCTCCTCGGCCCAGCCTCGTGGCTAGTGTTATTCCCAAAGAGTCCTGGAAAATGTGAGCACCCTCCCTCACTCAGGATTTCCCTCTCTCCAGGACTCTGATGAACAAGACCCTCAGGAGGTGACATACATACAGTTGGATCACTGCGTTTTCACACAGAGAAAAATCACTCGCCCTTCTCAGAGGCCCAAGACACCCCCAACAGATGCCAGAGTGTACACGGAACTTCCAAATGCTGAGTCCAGATCCAACGTTGTCTCCTGCCCATGAGCACCACAGTCAGGCCTTGAGGGGATCTTCTAGGGAGACAATAGCCCTGTCTCAAAACCGGGTTGCCAGCTCCCATGTACCAGCAGCTGGAATCTGAAGGCGTGAGTCTGCATCTTAGGGCATCGCTCTTCCTCACACCACAAATCTGAATGTGCCTCTCTCTTGCTTACAAATGTCTAAGGTCCCCACTGCCTGCTGGAGAGAAAACACACTCCTTTGCTTAGCCCACAATTCTCCATTTCACTTGACCCCTGCCCACCTCTCCAACCTTACTGGCTTACTTCCTAGTCTACTTGAGGCTGCAATCACACTGAGGAACTCACAGTTCCAAACATACAAGAGGCTCCCTCTTAACACGGCACTTAGACACGTCCTGTTCCACCTTCCCTCATGCTGTTCCACCTCCCCTCAGAGTATCTTTCAGCCTTCTGTCAGCAGTAAAACTTATATATTTTTTAAAATAATTTCAATGTAGTTTTCCCTCCTTCAAATAAACATGTCTGCCCTCATGGTTTCGGTAATGGGACTCTTTTCTTGCCTAAGACTTCCAGTGTTATCATTACCATGTCCACATAACCCCATCTGTTCTCCACTGGGTTCTCACCCCCGGACTCTGAGTTTCTGGAAGCAGGGTGGAGCCTCATTTGTCTCTGGGACTCCTATTTCCATCCAAAGATGTAGCACATAGGAGGTTCCAAGGATCGTGAATCACATGAACAAGTGATATTCTTACTCTCTGCAGACCTGGAAATCTGGCAGAGTCATTCCAAGATGAAACATTTGTAGAGTCATAGGCCTTGTTAGTCTCATCTACACAGGGACACATATCAACACATCATCTTTCACACTATAAATATACAGTCACTCCTCCATATCTGTGGGGTTTACAGTTCTTTATTGAACCGAGTATAAATCAAAAATATTCAGAGAAAGTATCCACAGAGTTACAAAAAGCAGAACTGTGTTGAATGGACACAAATGAAGCTGTGTGTAGGCTGCATCAGGAATTATAAGTAATCTAGAGATGATTTCATGTATACAGGAGGATGTGCATAGGTTATTTGCAAACTCTGTGCCATTTCATATAAGAGGCTTGAGCATCTACAGATTTTGGTATCTGAGTGGAGATCTCGAAACCAATCACCCAGGAATAGTGAAGGATGACCGTATATGACTTTTATTTCTCAAATTTAAATATAAATCATAAAAAATGTACAACTAGATAAAAACTAAGAAGTGTTTTTATAGTGTGAGTTAGATTTATTTTTTCCTAGGTATAACCCATTGGTTTAATATTATTTATTGAGAAGACATTCTATGCCACCTTAAACCACACGGCAGCCTTTGTCAACTCTAAAGGGACTGTGTGTACACGGATGTACTTTAGACACTGTTTCTGCTAAGGGGCTCTCTGTGTCCACACTCTTGATGATGCCGCACTTTATGTAGCCTTATAGAACCCTTTAAATTTAGTAGCCAGAGCTCTCTAATTTGTTATTATAGGCTATTTGCTTTTTTTTCTTGAGGCGGAGTCTTGCTCTGTCGCCCAGGCTGGACTGCAGTGACACAATCTCAGCTCACTGCAACTTCTGCCTCCCAGGTTCAAGCGATTCTCGTGCCTCAGCCTCTTGAGTAGCTGGCGTTACAGGTGCCTGCCACCAGGCACGGCTAATTTTTGGATTTTTAGCAGAGACACGGTTTCACTATATTGGCCAGGCTGCTCTCAAACTCCTTATCTCAGTTGATCCGCCCACCTCGGCTTCCCAACGTGCTGGGGAAACTTGATTTTCTATAGCATTATGTTACTGGATATTTCTGTAAAATTTAAAATGAGGGAGGGAGAGAGACAGACGGAAAACAAACTCCAGAGTTGGGACTCTGGAATCTTGGGTCATGAGACAAATTTTAGATTAAACTACAAAACTCCAGAATTTACAGGTGGGGTTTTTACTGATAAAGTACAATTCTAAGATTGTAAATAATTGCATAATCCTTCCCTGGGAATTTAAATCATTTTAACTGGTTCTGCTGTAATACTAGAAATACAAGCATGAAAAATTCTAATGGTTTGTTAGTCACAATGACTCTGAAAACATTAATAATACCTATTAGATATTTTGCATATTACACAGGAAGAAGAGTTTGAATCTCAGATAAAAACAATAGAAATACATGAAAAGTCTTTCATGTTAGCACAGATTTTAGGCATCTCGTGTTCGGGAGGTTGGATCTCAGACGTGTTTTGAGTTGGTCATAGTGAAGGACACTAGGTGTCAAATTCTAGCGAGAACAATTTCCAGGAAGCCGTGTTCCGCTCTTGAGCGAGCACCCACTGGGCCTCATGCAAGGTAGAAAAAGCCTGCGTACGTCACCCTCCCATGATGTGGTCAACATGTAAACTGCATGGGCAGGGCGCCAAATAACATCCTGTGCGCTGCTGAGCTGAGCTCGGTCGCGGCTGCCTGTCTGCTCCGGCAGCACCATGTCGCTCTTGGTCGTCAGCATGGCGTGTGTTGGTGAGTCCTGGAAAGCAATAGAGGGAGGGAGTGAGGGGATGGAGATCTGGGCCCAGAGGTGGAGATATAGGCCTGGAGGTGGAGTTATGGGCCTGGAGTGGAGATCTGGGCCTGGAGTGGATATATGGGCCTAGAGATGGAGTGATGGGCCTAGAAGTGGAGATCTGGGCCCAGAGGTCGAGATATAGGCCTGGAGGTGGAGTGATGGGACTGTAGTGGAGATCTGGGCCTGGAGTGGAGATAGGAACCTGGAGGGGAGATAGGAACCTGGAGGGGAGATATGGGCCTGGAGGTGGAGATATGGGCCTGGAGTGGAGTCATGGGCCTGGAGGTGGAGTTACGGGCCTGCAGTAGAGATATGGGCCTGAAGTGGAGACATGGGCCTGGAGTGGAGATATGGGCCAGGAGTGGAGATATGGGCCTAGAGGTCGATATCTGGGCCTGGAGTGGAGATATGGGCCAGGAGTGGAGATATGGGCCTAGAGGTCGATATCTGGGCCTGGAGAGGAGATATGTGCCTAGGATGGAGATACGGGCCTGGGTGTGGAGATATGGGACTGGAGAGGATATATGGGCCTGGAGTGGAGATATGGGACTGGAGAGGAGATATGGACCTGGAGTGGAGATAAGGGCCTGGATTGGAGATATGGGCCCAGGGTGGAGATCTGAGCCTGGATTGGAGATATGGGCCTGGATTGGCGATATGGGCTTAGGGTGGAAATATCGGCCTGGAGTGGAGATATGGGCCTGGAGTGGAGATATGGGCTTGAGGTGGGGATATGGACCTGGAGGCTGGGTCTCTGCACAGCCGACAGCCCTGTTCTTGGGTGCAGGTAGGCACTGAGGGTGAGTTTACCTTCAGCCCAGGAAGGGCCTGGCTACCAAGACTCACAGCCCAGTGGGGGCAGCAAGGGTGCCCTGGTTTGCCTGCAGATGGGTCATCCATCATGATCTTTCTTTCCAGGGTTCTTCTTGCTGCAGGGGGCCTGGCCACATGAGGGTGAGTCCTTCTCCAAACCTTCGGGTGTCATCTCCCCACATAAGAGGATTTTCCTGAAATGGGAGGGAAGTCCTGTCAGGGAGTCTCTCATAAACTAGGAAGAAGGGACCCTGGGGTGCTGGGCCCACATTTCTGACCTTGCCTCCCTGGCCTTTCATTCCCTTGGCAGAGTCAAGTTCTGTG
Source organism: Homo sapiens (assembly GCF_000001405.40). Lineage (NCBI taxonomy): Eukaryota > Metazoa > Chordata > Mammalia > Primates > Hominidae > Homo > Homo sapiens. Next base: position 72,669 of record NW_016107311.1, read on the forward strand.
GGGACCAGGGTTAGACTACGGTGCTCAAAGCTGGGGTGTGTGGTGGGGAAGTGGTAGGAACAGCAGATCCTCTGAGGACAAAGGTGTTACTCACACACTTCAGCGTTTCCATGACGGTAGGGGCTGCAGTGTGGCTGCTGTCATTCTACCAGAAGAGGTGGGAAAACCACAGCCATGGCCCTGACATTCCAATCCTCTGATGGGGACTCAGTTGTTTATTTTCGTTCAGGCATCGGCTGATATTCCATTCTCAAAGGACATGCCCTCCACCCCATGTCTACCCTGTGTTGTTTTATGTGAGTAATCTTACAGTATTAAAATCTAGTAGGAGTCTCTTACTCAGCACTTGCTCAAAGTTCTCAGCTGACACTTTTGTTGTAGGGAGACACCTTGTGTTTGCGGGATGGGTCCTTCCTTTAGCCCTGGGCACCAAGGTGTGATAGCAGCCATAGAAACTTGGAAAGCGAGGAGAATCTTCAGAGCACAGGGAGGGAGGGGCGGCTCCACATCCTCCTCTCTAAGGCGGTGCCTCCTTCTCCCCACGGTGGTCAGGACAAGCCCTTGCTGTCTGCCTGGCCAAGCCCTGTGGTGCCTCCAGGACATGTGATTCTTCAGTGTCATTCTTATCTTGGGTTTAACAACTTCAGTCTGTAAAAGGAAGATGGGGTGCCTGTCCCTGAGCTCTACAACATAATATTCTGGAACAGCCTTTTCATGGGCCCTGTGACCCCAGCACACGCAGGGACCTATACATGTCGGGGTTCACAACCACACTACCCCAGTGGGTGGTCGGCACCCAGCAACCCCCTGGAGATCACGGTCACAGGTCAGAGGGCTCCTGTCTGGGATTCTCCTTGTCCCACCTCCTGAATCCCAGAGCTCCTGGTGGGCGTGTCCTTGCGGGTCCCATCATGCAAGTCCTGACTGTATTTGGGGTAAAGGGGGATTGAATACAGGGAAATGGGTGCTGTGGTGGGAAGAATAATTGTCCCCAGTGATGACTACATTCTAATCCCTGGAGTCTGTGACTATTTATGATATAGGGGAAGGGACTGAAGGAGAAGATGGAGGTCAGGTTGTTGATGAGTTGACCTTGAGATGGGGAGACAGCCTGGACTGTCCTGATGGGCTCAGTGTAGTCACAGGGGTCCACATGAAAGGAGGAGGAAGAGGGGAGTGGGGATTACAGCAGCATAATGGGAGTCTCCATCAGCTTTGAAGGTGGAGGAAGTCCAGGAGCCATGAATGCAGGTGGCCTATAGAGGCTGGAAAAGTCAAGGAACTGATTCTCCTGAGTCTCCAGAGGGAACGAAGCCCTGCAGGTGCCTTGATTTTACCCACGACAAACAGGGTCCGATTTCTGTCTCCAGAATTGGAAGGGGTTAGTGTGCTCTCTCCTGGTGCCATGCTTCTGATAATTTTCTACAGCAGCAACAGGAAACCAACACTGGAACCCAGGTCAAGGACAAGTTAAGAAACAACACAAGGATAGCCAGGCATGGTGGCAGGTGCATGTAATCCTAGCGACTTGGGAGGCTGAGGGCAGGAGAATCACTTGAACCCAGGAGACAGAGGTTGCAGTGAGCCTAGACCACACCACTTCACTCCAGCCTGGGCAAAGGAGTGAGACTCTGTTGCCAAAATTAATTAATTAATTAAAGAAACCAAACAAGGAGAAGGTTGGCTACACTGAGATCAGCAAGGCTCAGATGATGATGCCACCACCAGGCTCCATCCACATAGGGAGCGGTTGATACTCCTCCAACCAGCACCAGGAGCCAGCCTATGGAAGCTGGCACTGGCATGGCAAGAGTGGCTCCCAGTCCCTACCAGGAACAGGGTGTGTGGCCACTGGTGCCTGCCTTACTGATCAGTTCATACCTCCTGCCAAGGATTCCAATTCGTCCAAAAGAGATTGAACCAGGCTGCTAAGAGCCTGGATGTGCAGCCTATCCTGGTTCCTCTTCCACCCCCACATAGACAGCAGGAAAGACATTAGTTCGAAATAGATACAACAGCCCAAGAGATGAGGCTGAGCCCAGCGGCAAGGGAATCAGAGGCTACTAGAGACAGAGGGACAGAGAAGAGTGAGGGAGACAGATGGAAGGACCTGCACCAGGAGTTATGGGCACAGAAAAGAACATGAAGACACAGAGAGGAAGGAGAGAGATAAGACACCAGGAAGGGGAAGCCTGACTCAATCCAGGTGCCATGGATGGGATGATAAAGAGAGACACCTTCTAAACTCACAACCTCTCTTCCTAGGAGTCCACAGAAAACCTTCCCTCCTGGCCCACCCAGGTCCCCTGGTGAAATCAGAAGAGACAGTCATCCTGCAATGTTGGTCAGATGTCATGTTTGAACACTTCCTTCTGCACAGAGAGGGGATGTTTAACGACACTTTGCGCCTCATTGGAGAACACCATGATGGGGTCTCCAAGGCCAACTTCTCCATCAGTCGCATGACGCAAGACCTGGCAGGGACCTACAGATGCTACGGTTCTGTTACTCACTCCCCCTATCAGGTGTCAGCTCCCAGTGACCCTCTGGACATCGTGATCATAGGTGAGAGTGTCCAGACTTTCTTCTCATTGTCATTGGGATGCAGAGTGAATGATCCAGGAATTGGAGACCCAGGTGGCTGTAAGGAAGATGAGCTTGGTATTCTTATGGAGAGAGACTGACTTGGTGAGGTCTGTGCCAACAGAGACAGAGAAACAGGAGACACAAGTAGAGACCAGGTGTCATAACAGAGAACAGACACAGGGGCCATACCGGGAGTTAGAAAAGACAGAAAGAGTTAAAGGAGACACACAGACAGACATGTCCCAGAGAGAGGTGTCCCTCCATGCTGACTTTGCTCAGAGACCTGGCACAGGTTAGAAGTTTCATTTCTGTTTTACCTCCACAAAGTGTTCTCTACCAGGAGAACCCAAGGACACCCATATTTCTGACCTGAGTTGGGCCCTGTGGCCTCAGGCCTTGTGGCACCTACAGATGCCATGTTTATTCTGACACCTCTGCCTTCCATGTAATGGAGAGTAATCGTCCCAGGATATCATGGCCCCACAACACCAACCCCTGTATGCTGTGTGAACTTGTAGTCTCCAGACTGGATTCTGAGGCTCATATTCCAAATAAGCCCACTTATGAGAGGATCAGTGAGAGGCCACAGAGAGAAATCAGGGACACCAAAAAGCAAAGACATAAACACACAGAGAATGAGCCAGAGGAAGGAGATTGAGAGACTCACAGACACATAAAGAGAGAGAAAAGAGGGCAGAGAAGTGAGAATGATGGAAGGGAGCAGAGAAAAGCACTAAAATTAGACTCCTGAGGGAGAGGCACAAGGACATTGAAAGATGGAGATGTGGGGATGAATTGCAGAGATTCCAAAGAGAACTAGAGAGACCGAGAGGCAGAGCAAGACAGATGATAGATGGATAGATATAGATAGATGATAAATAGGTAGATGATAGATAATAGGTTATAGATACATAGATGATGATTGATTGATTCATTAATAGATGAGACATAGAGATGATGATGATGAAGACAGATAGATAGATAATACATAGAGATACAGAGGCAGACATAGAGAAATCATAGAGAGAGAGAGATGATACATAGATATAGATAATAGATGATTGATGGATAGATAGACAATTGATGGATAAATAGATGATATATAGATATAGATGACAGGTAGAGAATTTGTAGATAGGCACCGAATAGATAAATAGATAGATCGATAGATAATAGATAGAAATATGCAGAAAGTTATGAACAGGACACAAAGTGAGAAACTCAGAATTAAAAAAAGTAACTTCAAGTCAACCAATCCAAGGAGAGTCAGAGAGAATAAAACAATCCAAAAAGAGAAAACATATCTAGAGGTGGGGAAGTGAGGTCAGAGACCTAGAGAGACAGAGAAGGTGGAAGGAGGAAATAGACATGAAGAGCGATGGGGTAGAGGGTGAGAGAGAGAGAGAGAGAGCATTAGGTCATAGAACAGGGGAGTGAGTTCTCAGCTCAGGTGAAGGGAGCTGTGACAAAGAAGATCCTCCCTGAGGAAACTGCCTCTTCTCCTTCCAGGTCTATATGAGAAACCTTCTCTCTCAGCCCAGCCGGGCCCCACGGTTCTGGCAGGAGAGAATGTGACCTTGTCCTGCAGCTCCCGGAGCTCCTATGACATGTACCATCTATCCAGGGAAGGGGAGGCCCATGAACGTAGGCTCCCTGCAGGGCCCAAGGTCAACGGAACATTCCAGGCTGACTTTCCTCTGGGCCCTGCCACCCACGGAGGGACCTACAGATGCTTCGGCTCTTTCCATGACTCTCCATACGAGTGGTCAAAGTCAAGTGACCCACTGCTTGTTTCTGTCACAGGTGAGGAAAGCCCATGGCTGTCCCATGTCCTATGATCCTAGAGCCTTAGCTGAGGAGCTTCCTGCTGAGGATGGAGAGAAGCATGGACAGATGCAGAGAGAAGACGCAGCCTCGGTGTGAGGGAGGGATCAGGGCACAGGATGGCCGACAGGGCACCTCCAAACCCTCCTACATGGCCTGCATGGAGGCCCACGGCCAGGGCTCCAGGCACCCAGGCAGATGGAGAAAGCGGTCAGGAGAGACCCAGAGGAGGGAGACTGGGCTCAGTTTGGGGAGATCAGAGGTTCCCTCAGCCCCTCAACCTTACCCATTTCCCAGAAGCCCATCCTGGCCTCTCACCCACACAGAGATGTCATCACCAGCAACCCCTACACCCTTTACTTTTCTTTGAAGAAATATTTATTGAGGATAAATATACCTATATAGCTTACCACTTTTAACATTTTTTTTTGAGGTGGAGTCTAGCTCTGTCCCCTATGATGGAGTGCAGTGGCACAATCTCAGCTCACTGCAACCTCCGCCTCCTGGGTTCAAGCGATTCTCCTGCCTCAGCCACCTGAGTAGCTAGTGCTACAGGCACGCACCACCACGCCAGGCTACTTTTTGTATTTTTAGTAGAGAGGTGGTTTCACCATGTTGGTCGAGCTGGTCTCGAACTCCTGACCACGTGATCCACCCGCATCAGCCTCCCAAAGTGCTGGGATTACAGGCATGGGCCACCAGGCCCAGCCACATTTACCATTTTTAAGTGTAAAGTCTAGTGGTCATAAATACATTTTTATATATATATATATATACATTTTTTTTACCCTCCACCCTTTTCTTCCTGTCCTCCAGTAGCCACCATTCTACTCTCTACCTTCATGAGATCCACCTTTTAGCTCCTGTATATGGGTGAGAAATGGGAATCTTTTTAATGACCTCCAGTTCCATCCATGTGGCTGCAAATGACAGGATGTTATTCTTTCTATGGATGAGTAGTCTCCACTGTGCGTATGTACTACATTCTCTCTATCCATTCACCCACTGATGGGCAGGTAGGTTGACTCCTCATCTTGGCTACTGTGAACAGTGCTGCACCAATCATACGAGTGCAGATATCACTTCGATATGTTGATTTACTTTCCTTTGGATATAAACCCAGTAGTGAAATTGCTGGATACTATGAAAGTTCTCTTTTTTTTTTTTTTTCTTTTTTGAGAAAGAGTTTCCCTCCTTAGCCCAAGCTGGAGTCAAAGTGGTGCAACGTTGGCTCATTGCAACCTCCGCCTCCTGGGTTCAAATGATTTTCCTGCCTCAGCCTCCCTAGTAGCTGGGATTACAGGTGCACACCACCATGCCTGGCTACTTTTTGGTTTTTTTAGTATAGATGCGGTTTCCCCATGTTGGCTGGGCTGCTCTCAAACTCATGACCTCAACTGAGGTGCCCGCCTCAGTCTCCCAAAGTGCCGGGATTACAGGCATGATCCACCTCACCCAACCTCTTTTTAGTTCTTTAAAGGACTTCCATACTTTTCTCCGTAATGGCTGTACTAATTTACACTCCTCCCAACAGGGTACCAGGGTTCTCCTTTCTCTACCACCTTGCCAGCATTTCTTTTGCCTGTCTTGCAGCTAAAAGCCATTTTATTTTATTTCATTTTATTTTGAGATGGAGTTTTGCTCTTCTCACCCAGGCTGGAGTGCAGTGGCGCTATCTCGGCTCACCACAACCTCCACCTCCCAGGTTCAAGCGATTCTCCTGCCTCAGCCTCCCGAGTAGCTGGAATTACAGGCACACGCCACCACGCCCTACTAATTTTTGTATTTTTAGTAGAGACAGCGTTTCTCTATGTGGGTCAGACTGGTCTCAAACTCCCAACCTTATGAGATTCACCCACCTCAGGTTCTCAAAGTTCTAGGATGACACAAGTGAGCCACCTCACCCGGCCTAAAAGCCATTTTAATGGGGTGAGATGAAAACTCACTTTGATTTTAATTTGCGTTTCTCTGATGATGAGTGATACTGAGCACTTTTTCGTATGTGGGGAAATTTCATGTCTTTTGCTCCTTTTTCAATTAAATCATTTGTTTTATTGAGTTGTTTGAGCTTCTTATATTTCTAGTTATTAATCCCATCTCAGATGCATAGTTTGCACATATTTGCTCCCAATCTGTGGGTTGTCTCTTCACTTTGTTGGTTTATTTTTAGCAGTGCTGAAGTTGCTTAGTTTGAGGTAATCCCAATGGTCTATTTTTGCTTCGATTACTTGTGTTTTGAAGGTTTAAAACAAAATGTCTTCCTTCAGACAAACGTCCTGGAGCATTTCCCCAATATTTTGTTCTACGTGTTTCATAGGTTCAGGCCTTAGACTCACATCTTTAATCCATTTTCATTTGATTTTTGTGTATGGTGACAGGTAGAGTTGCAGTTTCATTCCTCTGCATGTAGATGTCCAGGTTTCCCTGCACTGTTTATTGAAAAGACTGTCCTTTCCTGATTGTGAGTTCTTGGCATCTTTGTCAAAGTCCATTGGATGGGCTGGGCTTGGTGGCTAACACCTGCAATTTCAGCACTTTGGGAGCCCGAGGTGGGTGGATCACCTGAGGCCAGGAGTTCAAGATTAGTCTGGCCAACGTGATGAAACATCGTCTCCACTAAAAATATAAAAATTAGCTGAGCATGGTGGTCAGCACCTGTAATACCACTACTCAGGAATTTGAGGCAAGAGAATGATTGAACCCAGGAGGCTGAGGTTGCAGTGAACCGAGATTGCACCTCTGCACTCCAGCCTGAGTGACAGAGCAAGACTCCATCTCAAAAGAAAAAATAAAAAACCATTGGATGTAAATGCATGGAATATATCTGTGTTATTCATTCTGCTCCGTTGTTCTATGTGCCTTTCTTTATGCCAATGTCATGCTATTTTGCTTACTACAGCTCTGTAACATATTTTGAGATCAGGTAGTGTGATGCTCCTGTTTTCTCTTTATATCTTGAAGTCTCAAGACAGTGGGTGTCATATAAAAAAATTATGGAAAAAAGGATCCCAGGACTCCCAGGGCCCAATATTAGATAAGAGAGTGTTGGCCATGAACCATCCTCAAAGATTTCCACTGAGTGGAGGACAGACACCCTCATTTCCTCACCTCTCTCCTGTCTCATGTTCTAGGAAACCCTTCAAATAGTTGGCCTTCACCCACTGAACCAAGCTCCAAAACCGGTGAGTACAGAACCCTCTTATATCCGCTTTTGGAACCCTGGGGAGGTGGGAACCTTGGATTCAGGCGTTGACTCAGCATCTCACAGCTCTGACATTGTACACTTGTCTTCCACCATCTCCGAACTCCAGATACTCCTACAGCGAAAGGGATCTGGGCCCAACACAGGGCTCAGTGAAATCTCTTCATCTCTCATTTTATGGAGCTGAGACCTCCTACAAGCTAGAAGAATGATTGCCAATCTGACATCCTTCTCAGGAAAAATGCAATGTTTGTTCTACCTGCATTCCTAACTGGAGGATAAATTCCTGGAGACTTGAGAGAGGGAAGGGAAGGGAACATCTGATGAGGGCAAGGTGTTTTAGAGAAGTTCCACTTGCCAAGGAATGAGCTCCTGTAGGTCATGAAGCAACCCTGGCTGACTCCGCAGAGAAAGAGCCTTGCCGTAACAGAGAACAGAGCTCATGCACGCACACTTCGACTCACTGACTCATTCAGCCACGGCCCCATGCTCAGGCTGTGCAGTGTGGAACCTTTTCCTATTGTTGCCATAACAAATTTCCACAAGATTCGTGGGTGAAAACAAAACGGTTTTTTAATTATCTTACAGTGCTGTAGCTCAAAGTAGGAAGTGCATCTTACTGGGCTAAAATCAAGGTGACAGCAAGGTTGCCTTCCCTCTGAGGATTCCAGGCACGAATCTGCTTCTCACTTGTCCCAGCTTCTAAAGGCTCCCAGTTCCTTGGCTCCTGGTCCCCTTCCTCCTTCCTCAAAGCCCACAAAGACTGGTCACATCTCACATGGCATCACTCAGTGCCTTCTTCCTTACCACACCTCTTTCTCTGAGTGCTGCTCTCCCTTCTTCCTCATCTTTTGAAAACTTGGGGATTCTATTGGGTTCACCAAGATGAAAATCCCTCATAATCTCCTGGAAATCATCCAGGATACCCTTGTTTTAAGTTCAGCTGATTAGCAACCATAATTCCATCTGCAATCTTCATTCCTCCTTTCCATGTAAAATAACATATTCACAAGCTGTGGAGGCTAGGACAGGGACATTTTGGGGTGGGACAGCATTCTCCTGCCTTCCACAAACAGTGAACAAGATGCATTTGGCCTCTGCCCTTGGGACACTGATATTGCAGATGGTTAAATGGGAGGGCAGAAAATGAACGCACAAGTGGATCTATAAATGAATGGTCCATTGGGAAGCATCTGTGCATGAAATCTATTTTTTGTTTGTTCTTTTGTTTATTGAGACAGAGTCGCCCTCTGTCTTCCAGGCTACAGTGCAGTGTCACGATCTTGGCTCACTGCAACCTGCGTCTCCTGGATTCAAGGGATTCTCCTGCCTCCGCCTCTCGAGTAGCTGGGATTACAGGCAACTGCCACCGTGCCCGGCTAATTCTTTTTGTATATTTTTTGTAGAGAGGATGTTTCACCACGTTGGCCAAGCTTGTCTGAAACTCCCAACCTCAAGTGATCCGACCGTCTCAGCATGCCAAAGTAATGGGACTACAGGCGTGAGCCACTGTGCCCAGCCAGAATTCAAAATCAATAATAGATAATGCTGAGTGTATGATTTCAGGTGACAAAGAAGGTCTCACTATTCAGATATTTGTGACATTAATGAAAAACACGGAATGAACCCCTGAAAGATTGGCGGAAGGATTTTGCACACACAGCTGTCAGCCATGAAGGCACAAAGGTGAAAACAATCTGATGTGGAAGGAAGAGGCTCTGACTCAAATGCTGGGAATGAGGTGGGGAGAATGACAAGACGACTGTAGAGAGACGGAGAGCACACTGGGTACACAGGAAACTAAGGAGGAACAAGGAGTGTGTGCTTGACACTCACAGCCATTGGATTCACCTCGGGGTAACCAGGAATCCCTACATGATTAATATGACTGACATGAAAATAAGGGAGGCCCAGGTGCATAACTGGAATCTAGGAGACCGTGGAAAAGGCAATTGCCGCCCCACTGGTGAAATGTGGTGCTGATTTAGACACTAAATGAATGAAGTAGATGGATATAAGATATGTTTGTGAGGTAGAATCATTGGCTGGAAAGGCTTGCTGGGTTTAATTTTTCCTGGTAGTTTAATCCTCGCTTCACTAACTTATTTCTGAGATTTATTTCTCCTGCATCTAAATCAATACCTGGCAGAGGAGGGAGAGCTAGATGAGGGGTGGTGCAAATGAAGGGACCTAGTATAGCATAATATACAAGGCTGTGAACGGTGGCTCACGCCTGTAACCCAGCACTTCAGGAGGCCAACGCGGGTGGATCACATGAAGTCAGGAGTTCGAGACCAGCCTGGCCAACATGGAGAAACCCTATCTCTACTAAAAATACAAAAATTAAACAGGCATGATGGTGGTGCATGACTGTAATCCCAGCTACTCTGGAGGAGGAAGCAGGAGAATGACTTCAGCCCTGGAGGCAGAGGTTGCAGTGAGTGGAGATCGCATCACTGCACACCAGCCTGGGCTACACAGGGATACTCTGTCTCAAAAAATAAAAATAAAAAATACATAAATATAATAATATACACAAATGATGCAGGCACCTGAATTCCAATCATCATTTTTCTATTCCTCTATAATTACTTCTTTGATCCTTTATCTTATCCATTAGAAAATCAGCCTAAAACCTCTTCCATATTTGGCTTTCTGTGAACATGAGATCATATGGAAAATATGAAAGCCCCCTGAACCCACCAGCACAGGCCCTGAAATAGGGAAAGTGCTCTGTTCATCACAAGAAACTTTCCCCCTCACCCAAATCCCCCACCTCACCCCTACTTCCAATCACCTGTGGAGATACAGATAGATCATGGGGAGGTAAACGCTAATACTCCTTGGAGTGAGTTCAGATCTTGGAATCAGAGATCAGCACCAGCACTAGCTCCTGCTCCCCTTTCCTACTAATTCACAGGAGGACAGGTGGTTTTGAAGCAATAGATGGTGGAGGGGGTGGTCTTTCCCCCAGCCTCTCAGGTGGAACAGCAGCCTAACATGTGTCTCGCGAGATCACAAAGAGTAGCACGTTTCACATGGGCTTCATCATTATTTCCTGGCTGTTTGACATAAGAGAATTCTACTTTGCTTTTTTGATCTTGATTTCACTTTTGTGTCCTTTTCTTGGAGAATGTAATTTGAGTCAAGAGGGTTGTGGATGTAGAAACTGTAAAGCACATTCACTGTGTATCAATCCCAGTCCAGTCTTTCCAGAGAAGACTCTAAACACCTGCTGTACTGCACCTGGGCCTATGCCAATTTCTATCACTCACCGTCACTCCAGGGAGACAGAACACACAGAGAATACGTTACATAGGCAGGTTCATTACTAACAGATAAGCAGCGAGTGACAACAGAAGCCTACATTTCAACGTGAGCCAGTCCCTCAAGGCTCAGAAAAGCTGCTCGGGACATATGGAGTCACCTCATTTGCAGTGTATCTGGGGGAAGCCAGAAAATAGCCCAGCCTGGGTTTTGTACCCTGAAGCCACAGGAAGCACTCAGCTAAAGCACTGCATGACGTCCTCCTCCAGGAAGAACAGGAAGACAGCACAGGCTGTTCTGAGACGTTCCTCCTGATCTCAGGACGTTGCTGTCTTAGTCCATTTTTGTTGCTATAAAAGAACACTTGAGCCTGGGTTACTTCTTTTTTTTTTTTTTTTTTTTGTATAGTGCTTCTGATGAGCTTTTTTTTAAAATTTTTATTATTATTATACTTTAAGTTTTAGGGTACATGTGCACAATGTGCAGGTTAGTTACATATGTATACATGTGCCATGCTGGTGTGCTGCACCCATCAACTCGTCATTTAGCATTAGGTATATCTCCTAATGCTATCCCTCCCCCTCCCCCCACCCCACAACAGTCCCCAGAGTGTGATGTTCCCCTTCCTGTGTCCATGTGTTCTCATTGTTCAATTCCCACCTATAAGTGAGAACATGCGGTGTTTGGATTTTTGTCCTTGTGATAGTCTACTGAGAATGATGATTTCCAATTTCATCCATGTCCCTGCAAAGGACATGAACTCATCATTTTTTATGGCTGCATAGTATTCCATGGTGTATATGTGCCACATTTTCTTCATCCAGTCTATCATTGTTGGACATTTGGGTTGGTTCCAAGTCTTTGCTATTGTGAATAGTGCCACAATAAACATACGTGTCCATGTGTCTTTATAGCAGCATGATTTATAGTCCTTTGGGTTTATACCCAGTAATGGGATGGCTGGGTCAAATGGTATTTCAAGCTCTAGATCCCTGAGGAATCGCCACACTGACTTCCACAATGGTTGAACTAGTTTACAGTCCCACCAACAGTGTAAAAGTGTTCCTATTTCTCCACATCCTCTCCAGCACCTGTTGTTTCCCGACTTTTTAATGATCGCCATTCTAACTGGTGTGAGATGGTATCTCATTGTGGTTTTGATTTGCATTTCTCTGATGGCCAGTCATGGTGAGCATTTTTTCATGTGTTTTTTGGCTGCATAAATGTCTTCTTTTGAGAAGTGTCTGTTCATGTCCTTTGCCCACTTTTTGATAGGATTGTTTGTTTTTTTCTTGTAAATTTGTTTGAGTTCATTGTAGATTCTGGATATTAGCCCTTTGTCAGATGAGTAGGTTGCGAAAATTTTCTCCCATTTTGTAGGTTGTCTGTTCACTCTGATGGTAGTTTCTTTTGCTGTGCAGAAGCTCTTTAGTTTAATTAGATCCCGTTTGTCAATTTTGGCTTTTGTTGCCGTTGCTTTTGGTGTTTTAGACATGAAGTCCTTGTCCATGCCTATGTCCTGAATGGTAATGCCTAGGTTTTCTTCTAGGGTTTTTATGGTTTTAGGTCTAACGTTTAAGTCTTTAATCCATCTCAAATTAATTTTTGTATAAGGTGTAAGGAAGGGATCCAGTTTCAGCTTTCTACCTATGGCTAGCCAGTTTTCCCAGCACCATTTATTAAATAGGGAATCCTTTCCCCATTGCTTGTTTTTCTCAGGTTTGTCAAAGATCACATAGTTGTAGATATGTGGCATTATTTCTGAGGGCTCTATTCTGTTCCATTGATCTATATCTCTGTTTTGGTACCAGTACCATGCTGTTTTGGTTACTGTAGCCTTGTAGTATAGTTTGAAGTCAGGCAGCATGATGCCTCCAGCTTTGTTCTTTTGGCTTAGGATTGACTTGGCAATGCAGGCTCTTTTTTGATTCCATATGAACTTTAAGGTAGTTTTTTCCAATTCTGTGAAGAAAGTCATTGGTAGCTTGATGGGGATGGCATTGAATCTATAAATTACCTTGGGCAGTATGGCCATTTTCACGATCTTGATTCTTCCTACCCATGAGCATGGAATGTTCTTCCATTTGTTTGTATCCTCTTTTATTTCATTGAGCAGTGGTTTGTAGTTCTCCTTGAAGAGGTCCTTCATATCCCTTGTAAGTTGGATTCCTAGGTATTTTATTCTCTTTGAAGCAATTGTGAATGGGAGTTCACTCATGATTTGGCTCTCTGTTTGTCTGTTATTGGTGTATAAGAATGCTTGTGATTTTTGTACATTGATTCTGTATCCTGAGACTTTGTAGAAGCTGCTTATCAGCTTAAGGAGATTTTGGGCTGAGACAATGGGGTTTTCTATATATACAATCATGTCATCTGCAAACAGGGACAATTTGACTTCCTCTTTTCCTAATTGAATACCCTTTATTTCCTTCTCCTGCCTAATTGCCCTGGCCAGAACTTCCAACACTATGTTGAATAGGAGTGGTGAAAGAGGGCATCCCTGTCTTGTGCCAGTTTTCAAAGGGAATGCTTCCAGTTTTTGCCCATTCAGTATGATACTGGCTGTGGGTTTGTTATAGATGGCTCTTATTATTTTGAGATACGTCCCATCAATGCCTAATTTATTGAGAGTTTTTAGCATGAAGCGTTGTTGAATTTTGTCAAAGGCCTTTTCTGCATCTATTGAGATAGTCGTCCGGTTTTTGTCTTTGGTTCTGTTTATATGATGGATTACATTTATTGATTTGCATATATTGAACCAGCCTTGCATCCCAGAGCCTGGGCAACTTCTAGAGAAAACAGATTTGTTTGCCTCACAGTTCTGCAGGCTGTACTGGAAGCATGGCACCAGCATCTGTTTCCTGTGACGGCCTCAGGCTGCTCCCACTCTGGCAGAAGGGAAGGAGGGTCTGTCTGTGCAGAGACCACAGAGATCACATGGCAAGAGAGGGAGCAAGGGGGAGGGCGAGCGATGGAGCTTCCAAGCTCTTTTTAACAACCAGCCCTCCGGGAACTAATAGAGGGGGAACTTGCTAACCCCATCATGTGGGGCAGCATTAATCTATTCATGATGGATCCACCTCCATGACTCAAACACCTTCCCATAGGCCCAAACTTCCACACTGGGGGTTAAATTTCAATATTTCAGTGTGAGGTTTCAAAGGGTCAAACATCTAAACTAAAGCAGCTGTATCCTCAGCATGTTCTATGGTTTCTATGAGAGCTGTAACTGAGAAAGCAGGAGAAAGCTGGGTCTCCCGCCATCAGGCTGCTTGTCCTAAGGAGATGTTCCATGTGGTTACCTGTCAATCAAGAAATGAGACAATCCATAAAGAGGAACTGCTATGATTAGCTTCTTATTGGATTCCCATCTTCCTCCAGGTATCTGCAGACACCTGCATGTTCTGATTGGGACCTCAGTGGTCATCTTCCTCTTCATCCTCCTCCTCTTCTTTCTCCTTTATCGCTGGTGCTCCAACAAAAAGAGTAAGTCTCACGAAGCAGAGGCCAGAGAGCTCAGGGCCATGTGGGGAAGCAGGATGGGAGCACGCGGGTGTGTGTTCCTCACTGGCAGGATGGTCCCTGGCCCAAGGGAGGAGCCACAGAGGCAGGGCTTTCTAGAGAGAGCACCAGACAACCTGCCCCTGCCTTCAGCTCACAGACCATTGCCTGGTTCTGAACTGTATCCTCACATCCCCTGCAGCTACTGACATCCAGAAGCTTCCATGACAGGCAGAAAGTGGGAGACAGAATCAATGGGATGCCAATTGAGAGCACTTCATGGGATGGGGTCTTGAACTCAGAGAGATAGAATGTCTGAGTCTGGATGTTGGCAGCTGAAGAGCCTCAGGCACCTACAGCCTCCCCCTGTGGGTTGGTGTCTGCCCATGAAATGAGGACCCAGAAGGGCCCTCCAAGCGGTTTTGATGACTTCCGTCTCCTACAGATGCTGCTGTAATGGACCAAGAGCCTGCGGGGGACAGAACAGTGAATAGGCAGGTAGGTCCTCCTCGGCCCAGCCTCACGGATACAGTCTTATCCCTAATAGTCCTGAAAAATGTGAGCACCCTCCCTCACTCAGCATTTCCCTCTCTCCAGGACTCTGATGAACAAGACCCTCAGGAGGTGACGTACGCACAGTTGGATCACTGCGTTTTCATACAGAGAAAAATCAGTCGCCCTTCTCAGAGGCCCAAGACACCCCTAACAGATACCAGCGTGTACACGGAACTTCCAAATGCTGAGCCCAGATCCAAAGTTGTCTCCTGCCCACGAGCACCACAGTCAGGTCTTGAGGGGGTTTTCTAGGGAGACAACAGCCCTGTCTCAAAACCAGGTTGCCAGATCCAATGAACCAGCAGCTGGAATCTGAAGGCATCAGTCTGCATCTTAGGGGATCGCTCTTCCTCACACCACGAATCTGAACATGCCTCTCTCTTGCTTACAAATGCCTAAGGTCGCCACTGCCTGCTGCAGAGAAAACACACTCCTTTGCTTAGCCCACAAGTATCTATTTCACTTGACCCCTGCCCACCTCTCCAACCTAACTGGCTTACTTCCTAGTCCTACTTGAGGCTGCAATCACACTGAGGAACTCACAATTCCAAACATACAAGAGGCTCCCTCTTAACACGGCACTTACACACTTGCTGTTCCACCTTCCCTCATGCTGTTCCACCTCCCCTCAGACTATCTTTCAGCCTTCTGTCATCAGTAAAATTTATAAATTTTTTTTATAACTTCAGTGTAGCTCTCTCCTCTTCAAATAAACATGTCTGCCCTCATGGTTTCGATAATGTGACTCTTTATTCGCCAAAAGTTTCCAGTGTTATCATTACTATGTCCATATAACCTGATATGTTCTCTACTGGGTTCTCAGCCCTGGACTCTGAGCTTCTGGAAGCAGGGTGGAGCCTCATTTGTCTCTGGGACTCCAATTTCCATCCAAAGATGCAGCACATAGGAGGTTCCAAGGATCGTGAATCACATGAACAAGTGATATTCTTACTCTCTGCAGACCTGGAAAGCTGGCAGAGTCATTCCAAGATGAAACATTTGTAGAGTCATAGGCCTTGTTAGTCTCATCTCCACAGGGACACATGTCAACACATCATCTTTCATACTATAAATATACAGTCGCTCCTCCATATCTGTGGGGTTTACAGGTGTTTATTGAACCAAATATAAATCAAAAATATTCAGAGAAAAAATCCACAAAGTTCCAAAAAGCAAAAATACTATATTGTGTGGACACAAGTGAGGTGGTGTGTAGGCTGTATCAGGAATTATAAGTAATCTAGAGATGATTTCATGTATACAGGAGGATGTGCATGGGTTATATGCAAACGCTGTGCCATTTCATGCAACAGGCTTGAGCATCTGCAGATTTTGGTGTCTGGTAGGGAGGGGGGTTTCCTGGAACCAATCACCCATGAATAGTGAAGGACAACTGTATATAATTTTCATTCATCAATTTTATAAATAAATCATCAAAATGTATGATAATAAGATAAAAAATTAGCAGTGTTTTTATGGTGTGAAAATAAGCTTAGATTTATTTTTTCCTGCTTGTAACCCTCTGGTCCAATGTTATTTACTGAGAAGACATTCTATTCCACCTTAATCCGCATGGCAGCCTCTGTCAACTATAAAAGGACTGTGTGTACACAGATGTATTTTACACACTCTTTTCTGCTCAGTGGCTCTCTGTGTCCACTCTCATGAGGATGCTGCACTTTATGTGGCCTTATAGAACCCCTTAAAATTTGGCAGCCTGAATCCTCTAATTTCTCCTTCCTCTTTAAGATTGCCATTATTATTATTATTGGCTATTTGCTTTTCCATGTAAATTTGTAATCATTTTTCTCATTTCCACCAAAAACAATGCTTGTAATTTTGTTGTGACTCCCTTACATCTACAGGTAAGTTCTGTCCTATAGAAACATAATGCAAACCACATGCATTCTTTCAAACTTGCTAGTATCCAAATTAAAAAGCTAACAAGAAACAGATAAAATTAATTTAAGTTAACCCAATGGACCCAAAATATTATTAACCCAACAGACCCAAAATATTAACCTAATAGATCCAAAATATTATTTTATTATACAAGTAGACTCAAAATATTATCATTTCAACATGTAATCATGTGTCATCTTGGAAAACATCAGATCCCTGTCTAGGTGGGCAAAGATTTTTCTTCGTAATATCTCATTTCCACATTTCCACTTGGCACAGAAACTGCCCCCAAGGCTCAGGATACTAAGATGCAGTAGGAATGGGTAGATGTATCTGGAGGAAAGTGACTGAATGAAATTGAGACATCAGAGTCTGGGAAACTCACTAGAACTACAGGGACAGTGTGGGGGAGGGAATTGGGAGATGTTGATCAAAGGATACAAACTATCAGGTATTCAGGAGGAATGGGTCTGAAGATCTCTTGTACAGCTTTGCCACTATGGTTGACAATACTGTACTCTATACTTGAAATTTACCAGGAAAGTAGATTTTTTTTTTTAAATATGGAACACTTCACGAATTTGCGTGTCATTCTTGCGCAGGGGCCATGCTAGTTTTCTCTGTATCGTTCCAATTTTAGTATATGTGCTGCCGAGGCAAGCATGGGAGAGTAGATTTTTTTTTTTTTTTTTTTTTTTTTTGAGCTGGAGTCTTGCTCTGTCACCCAGGCTGGAGTGCAGTGGCGCGATCTCGGCTCACCGCAAGCTCCGCCTCCTGGGTTCACGCCATTCTCCTGCCTCAGCCTCCCGAGTAGCTGGGACTACAGGCGCCCGCCACCACGCCCTGCTAATTTTTTGTATTTTTAGTAGAGACGGGGTTTCACTGTGTTAGCCAGGATGGTCTCGATCTCCTGACCTCGTGATCCGCCTGCCTCGGCCTCCCAAAGTACTGGGATTACAGGCATGAGCCACCACGCCCGGCTGGGAGAGTAGATCTTAAGGGTCCTCACCACAAAAAAAAAAAAAAGAAAGAAAGAAAAAGAAACCATAGGCCGGGCGCGGTGGCTCACGCCTGTAATCCCAGCACTTTGGGAGGCCAAGACGGGCAGATCACTTGAGGTCAGGAGTTCAAGACCAGCATGGCCAACATGGTGAAACCCTGTCTCTACTAAAAATGCAAACATTAGCCAGGCGTGGTGACACAAGCCTGTAATCCCAGCTACTCAGGAGGCTGAGGCACGAGAATTGCTGGAACCTGGGAGCGGAGGTTGCAGTGAGCCAAGATGGCACCACTGCACTCTAGCCTGGGGGACAGAGTAAGACTTCCTCTCAAAAAAAAAAAAAAAAAAAAAACAATAACCCTGCGAGATGATGGATATAACTAGCTTGACTATGATGATCATGTCACCATGTATACATACATCAAAACATCAAGTGTAATACACCTTAAATATATACAATTTCCATTTGTCAATCATATCTCAATAAAGCTAAAAGAAACCTCTAAGTTTCAACTTTATTTTCAGAAAGCTGTGCCATGCTTACCTCAGTGCCTAAGTATACTCTAATTCATGGAAATGGCCTTTAAAACTGCAGAGAGTGGCTGGGTGCAGTGGCTCACGCCTATAATCCCAGCACTTTGGGAGGCGGAGGTGGGCAGATCACGAGGTCAGGAGTTCGAGATCAGCCTGGCCAACATGGTGAAACTCTGTCTCTACTAAAAATACAAAAAATAGCTGGGCATGGTGGCAGGTGCCTGTAAATCTGAGATACTCAGGAGGCTGAGACAGGAGAATCGTTTGAACTGGGGAGGCAGAGGTTGCAGTGAGCCGAGATCCTGCCATTGCACTCCAGCCTGGGCGACAGGGTGAGACTCCATCTCAAAAAAAAAAAAATACTGCAGAGAGTTAAGGCCCTCACTGGACACTCTCCGGTACCTCTGAGGTCAGTGGATAGAGAAGCAGCTCCCCTTCTTCTTCCTCGAAACAAAGGCCTCCTTCCTTCTTAGGTGTTTGAGACAAATTCTCCACACAGGTGCAGCTGAGTGCTGTAAAGTCCCACTGAGAGTTGAAGGTCCCCACTGCCAGTCACAGTTCGGTCCCACTGAGGGTTGAAGGTCCCCACTGCCAGTCACAGTTTGGTCCCATTGAGGGTTGAGAGTCTCCACTGCCAGTCACAGTTTGGTCCCATTGAGGGTTGAGAGTCTCCACTGCCAGTCAGTTTGGGCTTATTAGGGTTTATGCTGTGCACGGAGAATGGAACCTACCAATCAACTCTTAGTGACCAGTTAGACAGATTCAAGGCAAATTTCCCTGCTGGGAAATCCCAAATCCCAAAATATGCAGAGACCAATAGATGTCTCAATTCTTCCGTGTCTCCGTCTAAATCCTTGGGTCACTGTGACTCCTGTAGTTATGTGGCTTGTAATTCCTTGGGCCGTAGAATGGCTATGATAGGCCCTGTGCTAAGGGGACTGGTGACAGTTGAGACAGGAACATGGAAGCTATAGTAGTCAGGGTTCTCCAGAAAAAAAAATAATCAACACTAATAATGATAGATATATAGATAATGATTGATAGACAAATAATGATAGATATATAATGATATCACAAATAATGATAGACATATAGTTGGATAATGACAGATATATAATGATTGATACACAGATAGGGTATTTATATATTGGCTTATGCAACTATGTAGACTGACAGGTCCCATGATCTGCCATCTGCAAGCTGGAGACCCAGGGGAGTCCACGTGTAGTTCCAGTCTACGTGCAAAAGTCTGAGAACCAGTAGAGTTAGTGGTATACGTAACAGTCCAAAAGCTAGCAGGCTCATGCCGGGCATGATGGCTCACGCCTGTAATCCCAACACTTTGGGAGACCAAGGCAGGCAGATCACCTGAGGTCAGAGTTCAAGACCAGCCCGGCCAACATGGTGAAACCCCATCTTTACTAAAAATACAAAAATTAGCCGGGCATAGTGGCATTCGCTTGTAATCCCAGCTACTCAGAGGCTGAGGTACGAGAATTGCTTGAACCCAAGAGGTGAAGGTTGCAGTGAGCCGAGATCATGCCACAGCACTCCAGCCTGGGTGACAGAGTGAGACTCTATCTCAAAAAAACAAACAAACAAAAAAAGCTGGCAGGCTTAACATCTAAAGAGTCAATGTTTTAGTGAGAGTTCAAGAGCCAGAAAAGACTGATGTCCAGGCAAAAGGAACTTCATCTTACATTACCAGTTCAATGTTTTGTTCTATTCAGGTCCCACCTGATTGAATGAGGCCGACTCACATTAGGGAGAGCAATCTGCTTTATAAATTACACTAATTCCATTGATAATCTCATTCAGCAACACCCCCACAGACACACACAGAATAATGTTTAACCAAATATCTCAGCACCCCATGGCTACGTTACCATTCCTGTTCCACAAAAGGAGGAAACAAAAGAACAAAACCACACCAAATGTTGTGGTAAGTTGACAAAATCTGTTCCAGCCCATTAGTAAATATTGGCCACTGAAGTTCCTGAAATTCAACAATTAGTAAGTATCTCTCTCCCAATAGAAAGCCACGTCATTTGTAAACCATAACAATAGCTTTTGTTTTTTTGAGACACAGTCTCGCTCTGTGTTGCCCAGGCTGGAGTGCAGTGATCTTGGCTCACTGCAACCTCTGCCTCCTGGGTTCAAGTGGCTCTCCTGCCTCAGCCTTCCGAGTAGCTGGAATTACAGGCACCCGCCACCACACCCAAGTAATTTTTATATTTTTAGTAGAGACTGGGTTTCACCACATTGACCAGGCTGGTCTTAAATTCCTGAACTCAAGTGATTCACCTGCCTTGGCCTCCCAAAGTGCTGGGATTACAGGCATGAGCTACTGCACCCAGCCAACAATAGTATTTTTAATTAGGTCATCCTGCCTTTACAATCTCTGCATTTTAAATACTCAACTAAGAGTACAGCCATTATTTGTCTTTCACCCAAAGTCCCATTCAAGTGAGAACAAAGGAATGAATAAATAAGGCATAAGTAACAAAACAACAAAAAAAGAAAATTAGAATGCGGTCAATTTCATGCAATCATCAACACCAAATTTCCAGAACGTAGTATTTCCAAATTTCCCGAACGTAAATATGTATGTGGAAATTAACAAAATGTGGCAAAACAAAAGGTCACTTAAATTTGCACAAATGAAACAGTCAACATGGAAGCTGATCGGCTTTCTGAAATATGGGACAAGCTCAGGACTTCAAAATACTTCGGCGTTGGAAGGGCTAAGTTATGATGTATTAAAATGAAAATAAAGTGGGGCGCGGTGGCTCACGCCTGTAATCCCAGCACTTTGGGGGACCGAAGTGGGTGGATCACGAGGTCAGGAGATCGAGACCATCCTGGCTAACACGGTGAAACCCCGTTTCTACTGAAAATACAAAAAAAATTAGCCGGGCGTGGTGGCGGATGCCTGTAGTCCCAGCTACTCGGGAGGCTGAGGCAGGAGAATAGCATGAACCCAGGAAGTGGAGCTTGCAGTGAGCTGAGATCACGCCACTGCACTCCAGCCTGGGCGACAGAGCAAGACTCCGTCTCAAAAAAAAAAAAAGAATAAATAAAATAAAATAAAATAGTAGAAGGTTTAATTAGGAATATTTCACTCTCCATACCTGAAGAATTCGTGATAGCCAGGAGTCTACAATCAAAATAACATAAATAATAAGATAAAAATAAAATTAATTTGAAGCCATAAAAAAAGAATGAGTTCATATGTTTTGTGGAAACATGGATGGAGCTGGAGGCCATTATCCTTAGCAAACTATACAAGAACAGAACACCAAATACAGCAGGTTCTCACTTATAAGTGGAAGCTAAATAATAGAACTCATGAACACAAAAAAGGGAAAAACAGACAATGGGGTCTCCTTTAGGGTGGAGGGTGGGAGGCGGGAAAGGAGCAGGCAAAGTAACTATTAGGTACCAAGCTTATTACCTAGGTGATGAAATAATCTGTACAACAAACCCCCATGACACAAGTTTACCTGTATAACAAACCTTCCCATGTACCCTTGAACCTAAAATAAAAGTTAAAAAAATACTCAATGAGCAACAATGTACATTATTTGAGGATAATTATATTAAAAGCCCAGACTTCACCACTACACAAAATATCCACGTAATAAAATTTCACTTGCGCTCCTTAAATTTATACAAATAAACAAAAAAGTATAATAAAATAGTAGATTCTTTCTTTAGAGATGACAAATAGTGCCAGAGAAAATGCCTCCACACTCTGGCATTGAGATCATCTCCAGGATAAGGGTATACTGCATGCCTGGTCAAGTCCAAGTAAATATACTCAGACCATGAATCTCAGAGATGAAACATAGGTTCAGAACAGACAAAGCCACAGAGCTTTTGACTAATGGCCCAGTGAAGGCAATGTCTGCCTGTATGGTATCCACCACCTTATATTCTGTCCCAAGCCCGTCTATTTGGATGTAGCATCTGGTTCAAAGATGAATTTGAACACCATTAGACACTGGCTTAATGAAAATTCACTTCTCATTCGTTTCTCATCTGAAACATAAATAGAAATATAGGTCTTAGGCAGGAGGATTTCTTGATGCCAGAAGTTAGAGACTACCCTGGCCAACATAGAAAGACCCCATCTCTATTTAAAAAAATATACATATATATGTCTTCTCTTGGGCTCCACCCAAGAGCAACCTGGAACTAAGTTATTCGGCAACGAACTGTTCCACTTTGTTGTGAGGCAATAGATGTGGAAATTCCCTGACGAGGGGCTCTGTCCTCATACTTCCTGCGGAGCTTATTGTCGTAAGAATATCTGTCATCCTGCTAATGTGCATTGAAAGGAGAGCAACGGGGCTGAGGCCGTGTCAGCACGATGGACCCCAAACAGACCACCCTCCTGTGTCTTGGTGAGTTTCAGAGTAAAAGTGGGTTAGAGGGGAAGATAGAGAAATCCCAAAATAATCAGGGTGTCTCTTAACAGTGTGACTAGGAGATTTTAGTGGCTGCCAAGGAGATTCTGATCTCCTTAGTGGAAAGGCCGTCTTTGTCAATGTATCTATAACTTTGTCTCTACCCAAGCCCAAGCTAGCTTGTGGGGCTCAAGGTTTAATATTTGTATTAAACCTATAGTGTGTTATCTGGGATTCATGATGGTCCCAAGGTTCTTATCAAGGAGAGACTTAGAGGCTGGAATCTGAAAGGTAAAAATAAAGAATGAACCTCAAAACTGTGATTGTTGTGGAAGGAAAACATATGATAGAACCCCATATAGAAATATGGTTACTAGTATTTTGTTGAAGATTTTTGCATTTATGTTCAACAAAGATATTATCCAGAAGTTTTCTGTTTTTGTTGTATCTCTGCCACATTTTGTTATCAGGATAATGTTGGCCTCATAGAATGAGTTGGGGAGGAGTCCCTCCTCCAGGATTTTTTTCAATAGTTTCAGTAGGAATAATACTAGCTCTTCTTGGCCGGGCGCAGTGGCTCACACCTGCAATCCCAGCACTTTGGGAGGCCAAGGCAGGCGGATCACAAGGTCAGGAGATCAAAACCATCCTGGCCAACATGGTGAAACCCTGTCTCTACTAAAAATACAAAAAAATTAGCCAGGCGTGGTGGCGGGCGCCTGTAGTCCCAGCTACTCGTGCGGCTGAGGCAGGAGAATGGCATGAACCTGGGAGGCAGAGCTTGCAGTGAGCCAAGATCATGCCACTGCACTCCAGCTTGGGCGACACAGCGAGACTCTGTCTCAAAAAAAAAAAAAAATGCCAGCTCTTCTTTATATATCTGGTGGGATTGAGCTGTGAATCCATCTGGTACTGGTCTTTTTCTGGTCTGTCATTACAGAGGGTGATTTGTCGTAAAGGTTGGAAATGGAAGCTTGATTTTTCATAAATCTCTCTCTTCCAGTGCTCTGTCTGGGCCAGAGGATTCAGGCACAGGAAGGTAAGTGTCCTGTAAATCTCTCCCAGCCCCTTTAGACCCTCTTGGGAGCTCTAGGATAAAGAAATTGAAGAATAGCCTGAAGCACCATTCTTATTTTAATCCCCATTCTAGTTGTTTCTGCTGTGCTTCTCTTGCATAATTTCTATCTCACTTTGTTATCTCCAAACCCTTCAGACTCATTAATGCTCAGGCCTGGATTTATAGTTAGTCCTTGCCTGTGTTAGACTGTCCATGAAGGATCTGTAATTTACTGAATGCTCAAACTGCAAGAATGAGGAAGTCAGGAGTCATCTGCCCAATATCCTTCCTTATGCTGATTCTATTTTGTTTTAGCAACCCACTTCCTCCCGTCACTTCATTTAAAAGGATGCTGCCATAGTCTAACCCTACTGAACACTCTAGCATTCTGTAGTACTACTGCAGTACTAAGCATGAGGCAGTCTTAGTGTACTACTGAATATTCTGCCACCCCAACTACTACTGCCTTAGCCTCCTAATGGGTGTGAGCCCCACGTCCATCCATGTCTTCTCTCTTCCAGCTCCTTCTAAAGCCTGAATTATTTGTGTGTTGAACAATACTCATTCTTCCTATCCATGAGCATGGAATGTTTTTCCATTTGTTTGTGTCATCTATGATTTCTTTGACCAGTGTTTTGTAGTTCTCCTTGCAGAGATCTTTCACCTCCCTGGTTAGCTGTATTCCCAGGTATTTTATTCTTTTTGCAGTAATTGTGAATGGATTCTATTCTTGATTTGGCTCTCAGCTTAGATGTTTTTGGTGTATAGGAATGCTACTGATTTTTATATATTGATTTTGTATCCTGGAACTTTGCTAAAGTTGTTTATCAGATTAAGAAGTGTTTGGGCAGAGACTGTGGTTTTCTAGGTATAGAATCATATCACCTGCAAACAGGGATAGTTTGACTTCCTTTCTTCCTATTTGGATGCCTTTTATTTCTCTCTTGCCTGATTGCTCTAGCTAGGACCTCCAGTACTATGTTGAACAGAAGTAGTGAGAGACGGCATCCATGTCTTTTGCCAGTTTTCAAGGGGAATACTTCCAGCTTTTGCCCATTCAATATGATGTTGACTGTGAGTTTGTCATACATCATTCTTATTATTTTGAAATATGTTTCTTCAATGCCTAGTTTGTCGAGGTTTTTTAGCATAAAGGGATGTTGAATTTTATCAAAAGCTCTATTGAGAGGATTATGTGTGTGGGGAGGGTTGTTCTATTTATGTGATGAATCATATTTAAGATTTGTGTATATTGGCCGGGCACTGTGGCTCATGCCTGTAATCCCAGCACTTTGGGAAGCCAAGGCTTGTGGATCATGAGGTCAGGAGATCGACACCATCCTGGCTAACACGGTGAAACCTCGTCTATACTAAAAAACACAAAAAAATTAGCCAGGCGTGGTGGTGGGCACCTGTAGTCCCAGCTGCTCGGGAGGCTCAGGCAGGAGAATGGCGTGAATCCAGGAGGCGGAGCTTGCAGTGAGCCAAGTTCACGCCACTACACTCCAGCCTGGGCAACAGAGCGAGACTCCTATATCGAATCAACCTTGCATCCCAGAAATAAAGCCTACCTGATGGTGGTGGATTAGCTTTCTGATGTGCTGCTGGATAGTTTGCTAGTATTTTGTTGAGGATTTTTGCATTTATGTTCAACAAGGATATTGTCCTGAAGTTTTCTGGTTTTGTTGTGTCTCTGCCATGTTTTTGCATCAAGATGATGCTGGTCTCATAGAATGAGCTGGGGAGGCATTCCTCCTCCTGAATATTTTTGGAACGTTTCAGTAGGTATAGTACCAGCTCTTCTTTATATATCAGATGGGATTCAGCTGTGAGTCTGTCTGGTACTGGGCTTTTTCTGGTCTGTAGGATTTTTATTACTGATTCAATTTTGGAGCTCATTATTGGTCTGTTCATGTATTCAATTTATTCTTGGTTTGATCTCAGGAGGGTGTATGTGTCCAGGAATTTCTCCATTTATTCTGGATTTTCTAGTTTGTGTGCATAGAGGTGTTCATAATATTCTCTGATGATTGTATTTCTGTGGGGTGAGTGGTAATATACCCTTTGTTGTTTCTAATTGTGTTTATCCGGATCATCTCTCTTTTCTTCTTTATTAGTCTAACTAGTCATCTGTCTTACTAATTTTTTCAAAAATTCTACTCCTCGATTTGCTGATCTTCTGAATGCTTTTTCGTGTCTCAATCTCCTTCAGCTCAGCTCTGATTTTGGTTATTTCTTGTTTCCTATGAGCTTTGGGGTTGATTTCCTCTTGGTTCTCTTAGTTCCTCTTGTTATGATGTTAGGTTGTTAATTTGAACTTTTTCTAGCTTTTTGAAGTGGGAGTTTAGTGCTATAAACTTCCCCCTTAACACTGCCTTAGCTGTGTCCCAGAGATTCTGCTATATTTACCCAAAAATTCCAGAACAGACTGCTTAATTTCCATGCATTGTACAGTTTTGAGTGGTTTTCTTAGTATTTATTCCTATTTTTATTCCACTGTGCTCTGATTTCGCTTTTCTGGATTTGCTAAGGATTGTTTTTTTTTTTTTTGAAATGGAGTCTTGCTCTGTCGCCCAGGCTGGAGTGCAGTGGCGCAATCTAGGCTCACTGCAAGCTCCGCCTCCCAGGTTCACACCATTCTCCTGCCTCAGCCTCCTGAGTAGCTGAGACTACAGGTGCCCGCCACCCCGCCCGGCTAATTTTTTTTGTATTTTTAGTAAAGACGGGGTTTCACTGCGTTAGCCAGGATGGTCTCGATCTCCTGACCTCATGATCCGCCAGCCTTGGCTTCCCAAAGTGCTGGGATTACAGGTGTGAGCCACCGTGCCCAGCCTGCTAAGGATTGCTGTATGTCTGATTGTATGATTGACTTTAGAGTATGTGCCATGAGGCAATGAAAACAATGTAGATTCTGTTGTTTTGGGGGTGGAGAGTTCTGTAGATGTCTGTCAGGTCCATTTGATCCACTGCTGAGTTCAGGTCCTGAATATCTCTGTTTGCCTCAATGATCTAATACTGTCGGCGGGATGTTAAAGTCTCCCCCTATTATTGTGTGGTTGTCTAAGTCTCTTCGTTGGTCTCTCAGAACACGCTTTATGAATCCGGGTGCTTCCATGTTAGGTGCATATATATTTAGGATAGTTAGGTCTTCATGCTCTTTTTTTAATTTTTTTTTTCTTTTTCTTTTTGATTCAGCAGTTGGGCTATTACACACTCCTTAGCAGATTCCGACTTCCGTGGCCACTGTCCTGCTATGGTCTTCATGTTGAATTGAACCCTTTACCATGATTTAATGCCCTTCTTTGCCTTTTTTGATCTTTGTTGGTATAAAGTCTGTTTTGTCTGAAATTTTAATAGCAGCTCCTGCATTTTTTTTTTTTTTTGGCTTTCCATTTGCTTGGTAGATTTTTCTCCATTTCTTTACTTTGAGCCTATGGATGTCATTGCATATGAGATGGGTTTCTTATAGGCAGCATAATGTTGAGTCTTGCTTTTTTTTTTTTTTTTTTTTTTGAGATGGAGTCTCACTCTGTCACCCAGGCTGGAGTGCAGTGGTATGATCTTGACTCACTGCAACTTCTGCCTCCCAGGTTCAAATGATTCTCCTGCCTCAGCCTCCCAAATAGCTGGGATTACAGGTGTGTACCACCACGCCCAGCTATTTTTTTTTTTTATTAGAGATGGGATTTCATCACATTGGCCAGGCTAATGTCGAACTCCTGACCTCAAATGATCCACCCACCTCAGCCTCCCAAAGTGCCAGGGTTACAGGCGTGAGCCACTGCACCTGGCCTCTTGCTTCTTTATCCAACTTGCCACTCTCTGCATTTTAATTAGGACAATTAGTCCATTTACATTCAAAGTTAGCATTTACATGTGCAGATTTTTTCCTGTCATCATGTTGTTAGCTGGTTTGGTTATTATGCAGACTTGTTTGTGTGGTTGTTTTATAGTGTCACTGGTTTATGTACGTAAGTGTGTTTTCTATTGGCTGGTGATGGTCTTTTCTTTCCATATTTAGCGTTCCTCTTAGGACCTCTTGTAAGGC
>NW_016107314.1:0-145691 GCF_000001405.40 Homo sapiens
GAATTCCCCATGAGTCCTGTGACCTCAGCCCACACGGGGACCTACAGGTGCTACGGCTCACTCAGCTCCGACCCCTACCTGCTGTCTCACCCCAGTGGCCCCGTGGAGCTCGTGGTCTCAGGTGAGGGCGCTGACCCTGTCCTCTCTGAGCTCAAAGGCTCAGCTCAGGCCCTGCCCCCAGCAGAGCTCTGGACACTAAGGAAAGAGGGGAGTGAAGGGAGAGGGTCCGCAGGGGAGGGTCCAGCCCATGGGAAGATGGAAATAGACAGGGACCTCCCACCCCTGGCTCCCACCCCTGAAGTCTCAGTAGAGTAAAGTGCAGGGAGGGCTGGGAGGAGACGGGGGGTGAACCTCAAAGGAGTTGAGATTAGACTGAGGGTGGAAGACGGAGGCCCCACCTGCTCCCATCCTGGTGTCTCCACCTCAGAATCAGAGCCTCTGTGTCCCAGTCCCCAACAGACGCCCTCCTGGAGAGAGAAGCATCCAGGCTGCCGGTGCCACCTGCATCCACCCCCGACCCCCCCCCACCCCGCCCCACTTCCTGCTTTCCCCTGCAGCCTCCCCAGCACTCAGCGCACACCTGAGCCTCACAGGGACTTGCACGTGCTCCCGCAGCAGCTCAGGGAATGTGCACCGCTCCTCTTCTGCGCCGTTGACATTTTTTATTTGGGTTTTTAAAATCTCATATTGGCCTTTTTGTCCAAGCTGGTGAAAGTAGATTTGCAGCATCACCTATTTTTATTCTCACCCGGTTTCGTAATAGCCCTGATCTCACGTGCTCCCTGAGGTTTTGTAAACTTCAGGTAGAAATGTGGACTTCCTTCGTTCTGGACATTTGCTATGGAGGGGGTAGGGCTTATCTTTTCAGAAAAAGTCAAATGACTGGTACCACTCCTTGAAACCCTACAGCACTTTCCAGACCTCAGAGGGAGGGAGAGAGAGGCAGAGACAGAGACAGAGAGACAGAGAGAGAGATATTGGGGCCGCTCTTTCCTGGCCGGTTCATCCTGGCCTATTCTCAATCCACCAAGGCCCCGAAGCTCATCTCCCCTCCTCCTCTGCCTCCTCCTCCACCCTGTAGACAAGCGGCCATTCCTTTCTGAAGAACAGGCTGAGACCTTTCTGGGACCTGCTCTTTCTGGAGCCTCTGTTGCTCCCTGTCTGGGTCTCCACACGCCTCCTTCCTGGCCCTTTTTCCTATTGAGGAATCAGCTTCAATGTCACCTCCAAGTGTGACCTTCACTGACGACACAGCTCAGCCCAGTCCTGCCTGCTTCTCATTTATGTCAAGTAATTAACCAACCTACACCATGCGGCTGAATTCCTTCTCTCTCTCTTCCACTCTCTGCATATACGTGTGTGTGTGTGTGTGCGCGTGTGTGGTCACACCAACATCTTACGTGACATTGAAACCTAGTTATCCGTATATCTATACAAATAATATATATTCACACATAAATATAGGTCTCTACCAATATATCTAAAACCATTGCTACGACTAGTAAATTTCCACTGCTGTGTTTCTATATGTTTGCTGTTTGTCTCCAGGTGAACCCACACTTCAAGAAGGCAGAGATAGTTTTTAAGGCCCACTATATATATAAAACAGATATATATTTGTGTTTGTGTTTTTCTGTGTGTGTATCACATTCTACCTGTTGCTGCCTATACGAATAATTAGCTACCTAGAGATTAAATGGACAATGAAACTCCAGGTGAAGTGGCTGAGGGCATGAAGGGGAGGCAGCCCCAGAATTTCACCCCTTTGTGCTTCTGACATTGAGGCTCCCCTGATGACTAACCCTCATCCACGGAGCCTGGGTCCTCAGCTGGTGGATCCGTGAAACTCTCATCTCCGGGGGAGTTGGCTCATGTTCTCCTGTGTCCCAGGCTGCACAGAGAGCACACAGGCCTTAGTGACCTCTGTACTGGGGACCACTTTCCTTGCAGATCCTGAGCTCTCAGGATGCAGGAAAACTCTCTCCCAGATGACTCAGGAGCAATGTTTAAATCCATAGAACACAGGAAAACTGAAATCGTTCAATGAGGAGACTAGAGGGAATCCTGCTAGCGGAGGAAGAGGTTTTTTTTTTTTTTTTTTAGAAATTCTGTAAAAGTCACATCATGAGACATTAAGTAATAAAAAAAAAATTGCAGAGCCCAGGTGAGAGGCTGGGCTCAGGTCTCTTTTTCTCTGTTTTGATTCTCTGGAGCAGCTGATACCCTCAGCCCATCACAAAACAAGTCTGACTCTGAGACTGGTATGTGAGGAGATACTCTCAGTGATGGGGCTGGCACTGAGGGTTGGGTCCTGTGAAGGGGAGGTGGGTGCCCTGGGTGGACAATCTGATCCACCCTGACCTCTGTGACCTCTTTGTCCACCATCCCCAGCCTCACACCTTCAGGATTACGCAGTGGAGAATCTCATCCACATGGGCGTGGCTGGCTTGATCCTGGTGGTCCTCGGGATTCTGTCATTTGAGGCTTGGCACAGCCAGAGAAGCTTCCCAAGATGCAGCCGGGAGGTGAACAGCAGAGAGGATAATGTACTTTATAGAGTCGTGAAGCCTCAGGAACAGATCTGATGATCCCAGGAGGTTCTGGAAGAAAATCTAGGGCCGATGCTATCTGGACTGTCTGCTGGTCATTTCCAGAGGAAGGAATCAATGTCCGAGTGCAGGGACATTTTCTGGGGTGATCCATGGAGAACCATTAAAATGTGATACCTTTCCTCTCCATTAATGTTGACTTTCCTTGGTTGGATCTGCCTCTTTTCCCACACTTAGACATGAGGCTCCATCCCACATGGCAGCGTTGGGTCCACACCTCTGCACACCTGCATGCTCTGGTCCATGGCGTGTCACACAGTCCTCTTCATTTCTCATTGCCACACTTCCTGGTGTACTTTACTGGGTCTTCATGTCTTCAGTTCAGAGTTCCGCACCTGGTTTAGGAACTAATTCAACGGGAGAAGATCAGAGTCCGACCAGGAAAAGATAAATGCACCGTGATGCCCTCACCTCCTGTGTGGACCCTATGAGCTCTTCCCTCCTTATCAGATGCTATCTGTGTAGTTTCTCCTGAAATATCACCACCTGGAATCAACACACTGGCATTTGAAGTCACGACCCAATGGTATGCTAATTCTGAAAAAGACATTTTTTGAAATGCTATGATTAGTGGCATTTACCAATTTCCTTGACGTAAATTCTTTTTTCATGGCCATAATCAAGATGCCAACGAGACATCCCTGAATGCAGGGTTGGGAAGCGTTGGACAGACTTGTCTTCACTCATAAGCACCAGGCATCTGATAGCTCACGTATACATCTTATTACCTTCCATTTTAGAGTGAATAATCATTTCTACTTCAGTATTTTGGCACAGGTAAAAGCAGTCCCATTACTGCGCGTATACCCAAAGGAATATAAATCATTCTATTGCAAAGATACATGCACACATGTGTTCATCGCAGCACTATTCACAATAGCAAAGACATAGAATCAACCCAAATGCCCATCAATGATAGACTGGATAAAGAAAATGTGAGACATATACACCACGGAATACTATGAAGCCATAAAAAGAAACAAGATCATGTCCTTTGCAGGGACATGGATGGAGCTGGAAACCATTATCCTCAGGAAACTAACACAGGAACAGGAAATCAAACGCTGCATGTTCTCACTTACAAGTGGGTGCTGAACAATGAGAATGCGTGAACACAGGGAGGGGAACAACACACACTGGGGCCTGTCGGGGGGGGGGTGGGGTAGGGGTAGGGAGAGCATTAGGAAAAATAGCTAATGTATGCTGGGCTTAATACCTAGGTGATGGGTTGACAGGTGCAGGAAACCACCATGGCGCACATTGACCTATGCAATAAGCCCACACATTCTGCACATGTACCCCGGAACTTAAAATAAAAATAAAAATTAAAATTAAATTATGACACCATGATCCTAGCATATCCAAAAAAGACAAAAATGCCAATATCAAATGTCGGAGAAAATAGGGCTGAATTAAAAATCCAATACAACGCCGGGCGCAGTGGCTCACGCCTGTAATCCCAGCACTTTGGGAGGCCAAGGTGGGTGGATCACTTGAAGTCAGGAGTTTGAGACCAGCCTGGCCAAACGTGGTGAAACCCTGCCTCTACTAAAAATACAAAAATTAGCCGGGTGTGGTGGCACTCGCCTGTAGTCCTAGCTACTAGGGAGGCTGAGGCAGGAGAATCACTTGAACCCGGGAGGCGGAGGTTGCAATGAGCTGAGATCATGCCACTGAACTCCAGCCTGGGTGACAGAGCGAGACTCCGTCTCAAAAAAAAAAACAAAAAAAAAAAACCCTCAAAAGCTCAGGCAGCAAAAGCAAAAATAGGCAAATGAGATCATAGCAAACTGCAAACCTTCTGCACAATCAAGG
This sequence comes from Homo sapiens, assembly GCF_000001405.40. NCBI lineage: Eukaryota > Metazoa > Chordata > Mammalia > Primates > Hominidae > Homo > Homo sapiens. The sequence continues at coordinate 4,425 of NW_016107314.1, forward strand.
AAACAAACAGCAGAGTGAAGAGACCACCTACAGAATGGGAAAGAATATTTGCAAGCAAGAGATTAATCTCCAGAAAATACAAGGAGCTCAAACAATGCAGAGGTTTTGAAGGATGGTGATGAGAAGGTTCTGCTACTTACAGAAAGGAAGTTTAGGAGAAACAAAACCACAAACCTAGGTGGTGGGATGGCTTGATCTGCTTCTGTCTGTGACTCACTTAACAGTCTTAAACACATCTCCCTAAGCCTCCTTCCCCCGGTGGGATTCCTGGGTCTTGTGAGGACCTCATCGGTCCCTCTGGTAAACCCAGGCACAGAGTGGAGCAGCTCTTGTTTTCTCAGGATCTTCCCCTTCACATACAATTAACGCACCCACACGATGCTACTCTTAGAACCCTTCAAATAAATGTTTCCCGGTTCATTCACTACCAGAATCCAAGCTCAGCTTGTTCCCCAGCTTAGGACTGAGTGGTATCTTGGAGGTAGTTTCCACCATAGCCCCCTTCCTCTGCTATAAGGCTCAGTGACACACCAGAGACACCCCCTCCAGCCAGGCTCCTGGAAGGTCTGGATGAAGACTGGGATGCTGAGGCATTGCTCAGCAATGTGGCTTAACTCAAACTTCTATGTGAAACTTCCAACCACTTTCAGCAAGGGGTCACTTCCAGCGTCTTGGGGTGTGAGGGCACTTTGGTTGGTCCCTGCAATATCAGACCCTATAAAGATCCTACAAACATGTTGCAGACTCTTTGAAGATTCTGGCACTTTCAGACATGCTGTTGGGAAATGGTGACACCCATAACCTTCTAGTTCCAGGACAGGGAGCCTTAGCCCAGGGCTATGTTTTCTGAGGGTCCTCAAAGTAAACAGTTCTATGTGCCAGGAGAACCCTAAATCTCATATGGTTCTAAGGGCAGAAAGCCACACACGCACCGGCAAAAAGCAAGAGATTCAAGGAAAAGCTGAGCAAAGACAGACAGGAAAACACACACATGATGAGCCAGCTTGTAGAGCTAGAACTGAGATGGAGAGAGGCACGAGTGGGTAACAGAGTGTGCTCCCCAGAACAGGTGGAGAGAATGCCTTTTTCATGCCCTGAGGATAGGCTGGGTAAGGCTTGTGCTCGACAGTCAAGGACTATTTTTTTCCCCAGGCGTCTACAAGAGACCTTCCTTCTCAGCTCAACTGTGCCCTGCAGTAAGTAATGATGGAGAGAATGTGACTTTGCTCTGCAGCTCTGGAAGCTCATTTGACCTGTGCCTTCTAACGAGGAAGGTAAGGCCCCTGGACACTGGCTCACTGGGGTGCAGAGACAGAGTGGGGCATTCAGGCCAACTTCTCTCTGGGTCTTGGGGCTGGTGATGGGACCTCTAGATGCTGCAGCTCTCTGTCGATGGCTCTGCCTGTGAGTGATCAGCCCTAGATGACCACTGTTACTGGGGGTAGCCCATGCCTGCTGCATGCCCTGTGAAACACTAAATCATATAGCCACGTCTGAGGGACAGCCTGCTGGAGACATGGGAATCTTAGGGATTCCAGACAAAATGAAGCAATGAGAAACACAAAGAGGAAAAGAGAGGTTGAGTATGACAGTGGTGTCAGGGTGTAGGGTGGTAGACAGGGCAGCTCCACACTCTCCACTGCTTCCTGTCTGGAGGCCCACTTTGGGGTCCTACTTATCCAGGTGAGTGAAGGAAGAGGTCAGGACAAACACAGGAGGTGAAGCCAGATACAGTGTGGGGAGATAAGCAGTGGCCTCAGCCTCTAGCCCTTTTCCATCTTCCAGAAGCCCCTCCTGAGCTCTCATCACAGACAGATTTCCCATTTGGAAACCCAGATATTTATCATGCCGGGGGGGGGAGGCAATGTCTCTTGATTATGGGGACTTTCCATCACCAGGCACCTGCTAGTCCTCTCTATACCTTCCCTTCAGGAAAGGAATTGTCCCTCATGGGATTCCAGGGAAGAGACCCCAGGACCCCTATCAGTCACTAGGGAGATGACAGAGTAGAGGAAGTCAGGGGACCAACCCTCCACAGAGAATGGTCCTACTTCAGTGGGGTGAGGGAAACTCTCACTCATCCATTTGCTGTCCTGTTACCTCGGAACCCTAAGAGAACTTGTTAGTCACACACAGAATCTACCCCTGAATGTGGTGTGCAAAGTGGGGCTCTTAGCCTCCAGTGTGAAGTCCCTGGGAAGATGGAATGTCCCTGTGTGAGTGAAGGCTGTGCCACCGCCCAGCTATGTGGCCTTGGGCTAGGCAACCCCTCCCAGGTCCCCAGTTCCCCATCTGCATCGGAGACTGTGGCCAGTGCGGGAATCCACAAGGCCCTTCAGCCTCCAAAGCTCTGGGACAGAGGCCTCGTCCACAGGGAGGAAGGGGTCAGAGTGACCTGAGTCCCTACTCAGGAGCGAGTCTAATCCACTCTCCATCGGGGCCTGTGGGGAAGGGAAGATGAAGAAACGGAGCCTGCACCTGGCTATGTGGGCGCAGTAGATTAAGGGGAGGATGAGGGTTCCTGAGAGTGTGTCATGTGGCAGAGACCCTGCAGCACACTCAGGAAGGGCTCTGGAAGGATCCAAGGAAATTTTCCAAGAAGAGGGCAGAGTAAGTGACAGAGACCCTCAACCATGGATTTCACTGAGGTGCCCATGATGACATAGGGAGAACGGGGGTGTCTGGGCAGGAAGAATATCGTCAGGGTGAAATGAATGGTGATGAGCTTCGTGTCAGAGCTCCTGTGGAGGGAGGGGCCTGGCCCACATGAAAAGGTCTCTGATCCTACCCCAGCCCCCAGCCCCTGTTCTCCAGGATGACACTGTGGGAATTCCATCAGGAGGGGTGTGATAGGGCTGGTCTTCCTGGCTCGATTCACAACACTGGCTGGGGACTGGGAACCCATGGGGAGCCACAGGTGGAAAGGGAGGAGCCTCAGTGAACCCAGCAGGAACAAACATAGGGTCTGACATGATGGAACTCACTTCCTGGAGGCCAAGAAAGACACTTGCGGGACAAAAGGGAAAGAGCGGTGGCTTGCTTAGTTCCATTCACTGACAACCCACAGGAGATGTCCAGTCCTTTTTTGATTTATTATTTTATTTTATTATATTTTATTTTATTTTATTTTATTTTCACATGGAGTTTTGCTCCTATTGGCCAGGCTGGAGTGCAATGGCACGATCTTGACTCACTGCAACCTCCACCTCTCAGGTTCAAGCGATTCTCCTGCCTCAGCCTCCTGCATAGCTGGGATTACAGGCGACTGCCACCACAGCCAGGTAATGTTTGTATTTTTAGTAGAGATGAGGTTTTGCCATCTTGGCCAGGCTGGTCTCAAACTCCTGATCTCATGTGATCCGCCTGTATCAGACTGCCAAAGTGTTGGGATTACAGGCGTGAGCCACCACACCCAGCCTTTTGTATTTTTAGTAGAGATGGGGTTTCACCATGTTGGTCAGGCTGGTCTTAAACTCCTGACCTCAGGTGATCCATCCACCTCGGCCACCCAAAGTGCTGGGAGTACAGATGTTAGCCACCGTACCCAGCGAGAGTTTCAGTGCTCTATCGGATTCCCTGCCTACTCCATGTTGCATGTAATGTTCCACCTCAGGGATGTTTCTCTCCTTTCTGTCTCCTTCCTCTTCTCCTTCTCCTTTTTTCTTTCTAATTTTTATTTTTTTGAGACAGAGCCTTGCTCTGTTACCCAGGCTAGAGTACAGTGGCACGATCCCAGCTCACTGCAACCTCTGCCTCCTGGGTTCAAGAGATTCTCCTGACTCAGCCTCTCAAGTAGCTGGGATTACAGGCACCCGCCATCACACCCAGCTAGTTTTTGTATTTTTAGTAGAGACGAGGTTTCACCATGTTGGCCAGACTGGTCTTGAACTCCTGCCCTCAGGTAATCCACCCGCCTGTGGCCCCCCAAAGTGCTGGGATTACAGGCGTGAGTCACCACTCCCAGCCCTGAATGATCTTTCCTCTTTAGTGTGTTCTCACAACCACCTCTCACTGAGCTTTCTTGTTTTTTGTTTTTGTTTTTGTTTTTGTTTTTGTTTTTGGCAGAGTCTGGCTTTGTTGCCTATGCTGGAGTGCAGTGGTGCAATCTCAGCTCACTGCAACCTCCGTCTCCTGGGTTCAAGCGATTCTCCCACCTCAGCCTCCTGAGTAGCTGGGATTACAGGCACCCACCACCACACCCAGCTAATTTTTGCATTTTTAGTAGACACAGGGTTTCACCATGTTGGTCAGGCTGGTCTCGAACTCCTGACCTTGTGATCTGCCAGCCTCAGCCTCCCAAAGTGCTGGAATTACAGGCATGAGCCACCACTCCCAGCCCTGGATTATCTTTCCTCTTTAGTGTGTTCTCACAACTACCTCTCACTGCTGGGTTTTCTCTCTTTCTTTTTTTTTTTTTTTTTTTTTTTTTTTGAGACAGTCCGGCTTTGTTGCCCAGGCTGGAGTGCAGTGGCGCGATCTCGGCTCACTGCAAGCTCCACCTCCCAGGTTCAAGCGATTCTCCCACCTCAGCCTCCCTAGTAGCTGGGATTACAGGCGCATGCCAGCACACCCAGCTAGTTTTTGTATTTTTAGTAGAGACAGGGGTTTCACCATGTTGGTCAGGCTGGTCTTGAACTCCTGACCTTGTGATCTTCCTGCCTCGGCCTCCCAAAGTGCTGGGATTACAGGTGTAAGCCACTGCACCCAGCCAGCTTTCTCATTCTTATCCCTTAGTTCTCTGCCAGGGAATAAGATAGAAACCATTCCCTCAACCACATTCTAGTCATGGTCCCTATTCTCATGTTTCCACTTCTCTCTCTTTGGTAATAAATCAATTAATTGAGAAACAAGTAGCTAAATGTTCATCTTCTGCTAGTCTGCATCCCCTTATTTTCCCAGAGCCTCCCCTAATGAAACTGACTTTATTTACTGAACGCAGGAAATGGGTCTCTCCAGATCAGGATGACTTTCTGCTGGGAAATATTTGTCTTTGCATCAGTGGGGAAAAAGAAAGCCGATGTCATGAGTGGAGGCTCTGAGAAAATAAGGGCTGTGTTTTCAGTTTAGACCCAGCTAAGTTGGGAGCTGACATAGATATGATGTTGGGTCCACCCTCCACGGGCAGGTTTTCAGACAAAGGATCCCTGGCAATCAGGGGACACCTCAGGTCTGGGCTGAGATGTGTGCAGAGGGCCTGGGTCCTCCTGAGCCCCTGCACTGGGGGGGGAATAAGAGACAGGCCCAGCAAGGGGCTGTCCACTTCCTGTGGGTTCACAGCTGTGGGGACCCAGGCAGGCGGCAGCAGGCTCTGACTTAACCACATCCGTGCATCTGTCTGTCATGGAGGGCCATGTGGTCACCTGTCCCACAGCTGGAGCACGCAGAGCAGGCATCATGGTGTCCATCCTCACTGTTCTTCTGTGCCTCAGTCAGTGGTGGAGAGACGAGGGACAGGAGGGGCACTGGGCTGAGGTGGGGAGGGTCCCACAGCAGCCTTGTTCACCAGAGAGCCTCAGGGCTCCAGTGGCTACTGGTGCTCCAACAGGAAGGGAAGCAGCCACACCTCTGTGTTCCAAATCCCCCACAGGAAACTCTTCTCCATGGCTGAGTCTGGGCCAGAAAGCCCAAGCACTTGCAGGTGAGTCTCTGCTAACCTCCCATGCCTGACCTCACACTCAGCACCTGGACTCTCATCTCAGGGGCTTCTGAACTGAGGGTGAGAAAATCAAGAGGGTCTGTGACCTGAGCTGGGAATGAGGAGCGGGGGAGGTCTGTGGACCCCAGCCTGTGGTTTCTTCCAGGGACCCTCCCCAAACCCAGCCTCTGGGCTGAGCCAGGCTCTGTGATTACCTGGGAGAGCCCCATGACCCTCTGGTGCCAGGGGACCCTGGATACCCAGGGTTACTATCTCACCAAGGAAGGAAACCCCATGACCTGGTACCAACAGAGCCCACCAGAGCCCAGGAACAAGACCAACTTCTTCATCCCATCCATGAGAGAGCACCATGCAGGGAGATACCACTGTCACTATCTCAGCCCTGCAGGCTGGTCAGAGCGCAGCGAGCCCCTGGAGCTGGTGGTGACAGGTAAGAGGACACTCAGGGGTCCCAGCCCCAGGCTCTGCCTGCAGGAAGGGGGTCAGCTCTCAAGGGCATCTCCGTTCTAATAACTCAGCCCTGGGGGATGATGTGGGACGCGTGAGCCCCATTTAAGACAGTGTCTCCTTCTCTCCTAGGAGCCCACAGAAAACCCACTCTCTCAGCCCTGCCGAGCCCTGTGGTGACCTCAGGAGAGAACGTGACCATCCAGTGTAGCTCAAGGGTGGGATTTCACAGGTTCATTTTGATTGAGGAAGGAGAAAACAAGCTCTCCTGGATGCTGGACTCACAGGAACTCTCCAAGGGGCTGTCCCTTGTCCCTGGCCCTGTTCCCTGTGGGCCGTGTGGCTGCCAGTCACCGGTGGATGTTCAGATGCTATGGGCATTACACGAACTTCCCCTGGGTGTGGTCGGAACCCAGTGATACCATGGAGATCCTGGTCTTAGGTATGGATGTCTTCCTCCTTGCCCTATTTATTTTTGAGAACTTACTCTCACGGAGCCCCATGTAGGAGGGTGGAACAAGGGAAGTTTGGGACTCCTGAGCCCAGAGACACTGAGTGTGAGAGACAGTGAGACCTGCAGGGCCAGGAGGGGAGAAGGAAGGGGTGTGGGAGGAACCAGCCCTCCTAGTCCCGACTCTTCTTTCCCTCCAGGCGTGTCTAGGAAGCCCTCCCTCCTGACCCTGCAGGGCCCTGTCGTGGCCCCTGGGGAGAATCTGACCCTCCAGTGTGGCTCTGATGTCGGCTATGACAAATTCACTCTGTACAAGGAGGGGGGACATGACCTCGTCCAGGGCTCTGGCCGGCAGCCCCAGGCTGGGCTCTCCCAGGCCAACTTCACCCTGGGCCCTGTGAGGGTCTCCCACGGGGGCCAGTACAGATGCTACGGTGCACACAACCTCTCCTCCGAGTGGTCGGCCCCCAGTGACCCCCTGAGCATCCTGATCGCAGGTGAGGAGCCCAGCAGGTTCAGTCAGGGACCCAGGCTCCGCACAGGCCCTGCTGGGGGAGCCCAGGTGGTGATGGCCGGGATGAGGGGTGGGGGTCCTAAGGGACGGAGAGACAGACAGAGACAGGGGATGGGCGGGGAGGGGGAGACTCAGAGAAAACAGAGACAGAGACACTGAGGGTCCCAGGGAGAGGCCTGGGGAGGTGTCAGCTCAGAACGAGGTGGGGCAGCCCCTCACCCATCCTTCTTCTCTCCAGGACAGATCCGTGGCAGACCCTCCCTCTCGGTGCAGCCGGGCCCCACGGTGGCCTCAGGAGAGAACGTGACCCTGCTGTGTCAGTCACGGGAGCAGTTGGACACTTTCCTTCTGACCAAGGAGGGGGCAGCCCATCACCCACTGCGTCTGAGATCAGAGCACCAAGCTCAGCAGCACCAGGCTGAATTCCCCATGAGTCCTGTGACCTCAGCCCACGCGGGGACCTACAGGTGCTACAGCTCACGCAGATTCTTCCCCTACCTGCTGTCTCACCCCAGTGACCCCCTGGAGCTCGTGGTCTCAGGTGAGGCCGCTGACCCTGTCCTCTCTGAGCTCAAACCTCAGCTCAGGCCCTGCCCCCAGGAGAGCTCAGGACGCTAAGGAAAGAGGGGAGTAAAGGGGGAGGGTCGGCAGGGGAGGGCCCAGCCCATGAGAGGGTGGAAATAGTCAGGGACCTCCTAATCCTGGGCTCCCACCCCAGAGACCTCAGATGGGGCTAAAGGCCAGGGAGGGCTGAAATGAGATATGGAGAAACCTTGGAGGAATCATGCTTAGGCTGAGGGTAGAAGATGGAGGCCCCACCCACTCCCCACCTGGGCTCCCCTGGCGGCCCCAAAATACTCAGTGCATACCTGAGACGAAGGGGAGATCATGCACCTGCTCACTGCAGCAATGCAGGCAAATTATTCAACAGCAAACCTCGTGTGCAATTCCTTTCTGTCCTTTATTTTTTATGTCCACATATCTAGTTTCTCTTTCTGTTTCTGAAGATTTCAAAGCAATGCTGGCATTTATAATTTACACATTTAATTTGTTAGGTAGCGTTATGATGTAAAATAACTGTGCTCTGATTTTCTTTGGGATTAAATTAAATATGTGCATTCATGATGGAGAATAACTTCTCATTAATAATGTCTTTGTATCCAATACATTTAAAATTAAACTTTATACAGTTAGCAGATGCTTGAAGTTGTATTCATAAAAATTGTGGACATTGTGAATTTTAAGCATTGTTTTACTACTTGAATAATTTGAAAGTCTTTGATTCCTTTCTATTTTCTAAAATTAGTTACGTATGGATGAGAAAGCTATTGGTTTGGGTATGCTAATTTTAGTTCCTATTAACTTACCACAGACACACTCCCTTTCAATCCTTTCCGAAATGATCTCTTCTGATTTATTGATAATAATTACATTAACCACAAGAAAATGGAGGACAAACTTGTTTGTTTCTAAATTATATAATACTCTTCTCACTTCAAATATATATGTATGTGTTTATATATACTCACACACTATTATATATCTTATAATATATATTATGTATTATATATTTATATATACACTATTATATATCTTATATATTATGTATTATATATTTATATATACCCACACATTATTATATCTTATAATATATATTATGTATTATATATTTATATATACCCACACATTATTATATCTTATAATATATATTATGTATTATATATTTATATATGCACTATTATATATCTTATATATTATGTATTATATATTTATATTACCCACACATTATTATATCTTATAATATATATTATGTATTATATATTTATATATACACACACTATTATATATCTTATTATATATTATGTATTATATATTTATATATACTATTATATATCTTATAATATATAATGTATTATATATTTATATATACACACACTATTATATATCTTATATATTATGTATTATATATTTATATATACATACTATTATATATCTTATAATATATTATGTATTATATATTTATATATATACACTATTATATATCTTATTATATATTATATATTTATATATGCACACACTATTACATATCTTATTATATATTTATATGTATACACACACTATTATATATCTTATTATATATTATGTACTATATATTTATATATACTATTATATATCTTATAATATATAATGTATTATATATTTATATATACACACACTATTATATATCTTATATATTATGTATTATATATTTATATATACATACTATTATATATCTTATAATATATTATGTATTATATATTTATATATATACACTATTATATATCTTATTATATATTATATATTTATATATGCACACACTATTACATATCTTATTATATATTTATATGTATACACACACTATTATATATCTTATTATATATTATGTACTATATATTTATATATACTATTATATATCTTATAATATATAATGTATTATATATTTATATATACACACACTATTATATATCTTATATATTATGTATTATATATTTATATATACATACTATTATATATCTTATAATATATTATGTATTATATATTTATATATACACACTATTATATATCTTATTATATATTATATATTTATATATGCACACACTATTACATATCTTATTATATATTTATATGTATACACACACTATTATATATCTTATATATTATATATTTATATATACTCACACTATATCTTATAATACATATTATGCATACACATATGCATAATACATATTATCTATACACATATGCATAATACATATTATGTATACACATATGCATAACACATATTATGTATACACACATATTTACACCTATGCATATATGTATGTATGTATGCGAATGTACCTCTGCCACGGCAGGGAAAGGTTCTATCACACAACTACAGAGCAGTTAGGAGAAGTGTAGACACAAAGGAATGCAGCAACTGAGGGACATGTTGGCTTAAGTCTCTTCAACTCCTCACACACCTCCCCCTTTTTTGGTTGATTCTCAGGAGCAGCTGAGACCCTCAGCCCATCGCAAAACAAGACAGACTCCAAGACTGGTGTGTAAGGAGATGCTCTCGGTTATGGGGCTGGCACAGAGGGTCAGGTCCTGTGAAGGGGAGGTGGGTGCCCTGGGTGGACATCCAGGGGTCCCGGGTGATGTTGATCTGCCCTGACCTCTGAGACCTCTTGGTCCACCATCCCCAGCCTCACACCCCCAGGATTACACAGTGGAGAATCTCATCCGCGTGGCTGTGGCTGGCTTGGTCCTGGTGGTCCTCGGGATTCTGCTGCTTTAGGACTGGCACAGCTAGAGAAGTCCCCAAGATGCAGCAAGGAGGTAAATACATGAGAGAACAATGCACCCTTCAGAGTGCCAGAGCCTTGGCAATGAATCTGATAGTCCTAGGAGGTTCTGGAAGAAAGTCTGGACCATCATTCGGGAAACCGTCTACTGAGAAAGTCGAGAAGGGGAGGCTTGGGTCAGGTTCAGGAAGATGTCTGGGTGCCTGTAGAGAACGCTTCCTCCATTAAACTTCCATTAAATGGCAGTGCTTTCAGTCCTGCTGTTGTGGATCCTCCGTGTCTGCCCCTCCCTTCCTTTCGCTCTCTGTGATGTGAAGGCACGTCCCCCATGGTGGGTTTGCATCCACACCCCTGCGATCACGTGCTCTGGTCCACTGTCATGTAATACATTTGTCTTTGTTTCCAACTACCGCATTCTCTAAAGTGAACTATTGATTCTCCATCTTTTCAGTTCTGAGCATAGATCTGGATTAAATAACTGGAATAGGTGGGCAGATTTGTATTTGGGACTTTGAAACATGAGTCTGAGGCCAGGCACAGTGGCTCACACCTGTAATCCCAGCACTTTGGGAGGCTGAGGTGGGCGGATCACTTGAGGTCAGAAGTTCGAGACCAACCTGGCCAACATGGTGAAACCCTGTCTCTACTAAAAGATACAAAAATTAGCTGGGTGTGGCAGTGAGCACCTGTAATCCCAGCTGCTCAGGAAGCTGAGGCGGGAGAATAGCTTGAACCCGGGAGGCGGAGGTTGCAGTGAGCCAAGATCTTGCCACTGCACTCCAGCCTGGGCAACAGAGCAAGACTCCATCTCCAAAAAAAAAAAAAAAAAGGGAAATATGAGTCTGAAATGATGCCCTAGCACCCTCTCTGGACCCTGAATTCCCTTCACTCTTCATCGGATGATACCTGTGTACTTTGTCCAGAAATATCATCTCTCAGAATGAGCACACTAACGCTCGAAGGCTCAGCCTCATGGTATTCTGTTAAACTGGCTCTCTGAAAAAATTATTTTCTTAAGAAAACTCTGAACATATAAAGCCCCAGATTTATGGTATTTGCTGATTAGTGTGGTATAAATACGTCCTTTATGGCCAACTTCAGGGTGCCCATATGACGCCATTGAATGCACAGTTGGGAAGTAGTCAAAAGAATTGTCGTTCACACGAGTATGAACCAGTTGTAAAGTTTATTTAAAGGTTATAATAATTTCTGCTTCATTCTTATGGTGTAGTTTCAGTAAAATTGTAATGTCAAAAATCATAGCACAATGGAGGGAAAAGAAAAAAATAGGCCGGGTGTGGTGGCTCATGCCTGTAATCCCAACACTTTGGGAGGCCGAGGCAGGAGGATCACCTGAGGTCAGGAGTTCGAGACCAGCCTGGCCAACATGGTGAAACGCTGTCTCTACTAAAAATACAAAAATTAGCCAGACATGGTGGCGCCTGCCTGTAATCCCAGCTACTTGGGAGGCCAAGGCACGAGAATCGCATGAACCCAGGAGGCGGAGGTTGCAGTGAGCCGAGATCACTACAGCCTGGGTGATAGAGCAAGACTCAGTCTCAAGAAAAGAAAAAAGTAGCAAAATCATTTTTTGGAAAGAATATTGAACATGTAGAATTTTAGTACATTAATAGTAAGAGTACAAATTGCTTTAATCAATTAAGGAAGTGTATTGGAATTATCTAGTTAAAAAGAGGAGGCACATGGCTGTGACCCTTCTTAATTATGTACTTAATTATGTACCCTAGAGATAAATGTCTACTTATGTGTCATGATACACTCACAACTGTTATAGGAATGCTGTTCCTATTAGCCAAAGCTATAAAATACCAAAGTCCACCTACGAAAAAAATAAACATAGTGTGGTAAATAGACTCAGTGGAATATTACAAGGTAGTAAAATGCATAAATGAAAATAACAAACAGCACCATACTTCAATTTTCAAGCATAAAGTCAAGTAAATGAAGTATTATTTGAAAATGTGTGCATGGTTATTTCATTACATAAAGGTCAAAAGGAGGGTACATTTATTATTTAGGAAAACACACCTAAGATATCTTTGTAAAATCTGTAAAATCAATAGTACTGTTTCCCCTCTTTCATTCCTTATCTTGAAAATGCTTGTCTCTTTTTCTGCCATGGCTTTCTACCTTGCTTGATATATTACAATTTTGTAACCTGCTTATTTCATCATATGTCATAAGTTCACATGTATATCCCATGAATTATTGAGGGTCTTATTCATTTCAAGTGGCATTTAGGTTTTTAAAAATATCTTTTGGCGACCAGGTGCAGTGGCTCATGCCTGTAATCCCAGCACTTTGGGAAGCCAAGGCAGGTGGATCACGAGTTCAAGAGACAGAGATCATCCTGGCGAACATGGTGAAACCCCGTCTCTACTAAAAATACAAAAAAAAAAAAAAAAATAGCTGGGCATGGTAGAGGGTGCCTGTAGTCCCAGCTTCTCAGGAGGCTGAGGCGGGAGAATGGCATGAACCCGAGAGACGGAGGTTGCAGTGAGCCGAGATCGTGCCACTGCACTCCAGCCTGGCAACAGAGTGAGACTCTGTCTCAAAAAAAAAAAAAAAAGAAAGAAAGAAAGGAAGAAAAAAAAATCTTCTGGCATTAACTATTAAGAAATTGCACTATAAAAAGAGAATATAATGCATAAGACGGCAATTTGAAAAGATTCAGATATAATTTTTTCTTATCTAGTAAATACTTAGTAATTTGTCTAATGCATGCCTTAAATACATACCACTTTATGCAGAGGTTGCCATGAGCCGAGATCGCGCCGTTGCACTCTAGCCTGGGTGGCAGAGCAAGACTCCATCTCAAAAAAAAAAAAGAAAATCTCACAGAAGGAGACCCAGAGCTTCCAGCCTCGCCCAGAGTCTTGGCTCACTCCCTGTGTGTGTGGACCCTAGGGAGCCTCTTCTGTTCCCCACAGAGGTGGAAACTTCCTCCTTAATAACCCCTTGATGGTCCCAGGCACTGGTGACCACTGAGCTTTGCTCTCTCTTTTTTCTTATGGTTCCCTGTCTACTTCCAGGGCTATCACTTTACTTTTTGTGCATTAGACCATGAATAATGTTTTAGAAACATTCTATCAAATTTCTCAGTGCTAGGAACAACTGAGGTTTTTGATTGGGTGCCTCAAATGTCTACCCTTACTGTGGAGTCCGACAACAGGATTCTAACAAGTCCCAACCCCTTCATGCCTTAACCTGGTCTGGAAATAAATTATGTTTAAGCCATCCCATACCCCAGCCACATCAAGCCCCACAACCACTCTGAGAAGTGAGATTTATAGCAAAATGCTCCAAACAAGGTAACTAAGGTTCAGACAAGGGATGTTAATGTGTCCATTTACATAAACAAAAAATGGTAGATGATCAGCTTTCCCTTTGAAATCAGAGTACTAATCTGACTCATTGTTCCCTGAATTTTAGAGGCAGGACCTCAGGAGGAGCTAAGAATCCTACCCCAGGAAAATTACCAATATCAGAAAGGAAACAATGACATCAGTACAGATCCTACAGAATTCAAAAGATTCTAAGTGGACATTATGAAGACATTATTCAGCTTAGATGAAGTGGTCACATATCACAAGAAAACAAACTGTCTAAAACAATCTCTGAAATACCTAGACATTCCCTGAATCATTGAGTTATTAAATAAAATACATTTTAAAATTAAACTCTTTTCAGGAAATAAACTTCAATGTCCCCTAGTGCACTCTCCAAAACATGTAGATGGGAATAAATACTGTTCTGAAAGACATTTCCCTGGAATTACAACCATTCAATATATTTTAAAAGGCAATCATAAAAATATAAAAAGGATATATCAGGAGAAGAAATGTAAATGGCCTAAATTCCCCACATAAAAGGCATAGAGTGGCAACGTGGATAAAAAGCCAAGAGCCAACTGCCTGCTGTCTTCAAGAGACCCATCTCACATGTAATGACACCCACAGGCTCAAAGTAAAAGGATGAAGAAATATTTACTAGGCAACCAGGAAACAAAAAAAAGGAAGGCATTCCTATTCTTATATCACATGAAACACACTTTAAATCAACAGCAATCAGGAAGGACAAAGAAGGGCATTACAAAATGATAAAGGGTTCAATTTGACAGAAGACTTAACTATTCTAAATATATATGCACCCAAATTTGGAGCACCCCGATTCATAAAACAAGTTATTCTTCACCTATGAAAAGAGTTAGACAGCCACACAATAATAGTAAGGGACTTCAGTATCCCACTAACAACGTCAGATGAATCACTAAAACAGAAAACTAACAAAGAAATTCTGGTCTTAAAGACAACACTTGACCAATTGGACCTCATAGACATCTACAGAGTACTCCACCCAACAACTGCAGAATATAGATTCTTCTTATCTGCACACACAAAAAACATATCATATTCTAAGACTGGCCACAAAGCAAGTCTCAATAAATTCAAAGAATCAAAATCATAACAAGGCACACAATAAAAATAGAAAAAAATACCAAGATGATCTCTCAAAACTACAGAAAAACATGGAAATTTAACAACTTGTTTCTGAATGAATATTAAGAGCCATCTATGACAAATCCACAGCCAACATCATATTGAATGGTCAAAAGCTGGAACTGTACCCCTTGAGAACTCTTGGGTGAACAATGAAATTAAAGCAGAAATCACAAAACATTATTTAAAATTAATAAAAATAGAAACAAACTTACCAAAACCTTTGGGATGCAGTTAAAGCAGTGATAAGAGGAAAATTTATAGCAATACATGCCTCATCAGAAGTTTAGAAAGATCTCAAATTAGTGACTTAACACTGCATCTAGAGGAACTATTAAAAAAAAGGAACAGTCCAAACCCAAGGCCAGCAAAAGATGAGAAATAACTAAAGTCAGAGAGAACTGAATAAATTGAGACCAAAAAGTCCATACAAGAGATAAATAAAACCAAGAGTTTTTCTTTGAAAAAAAATAAACAAAATTCATAGACTGTTAGCTAGATTAACAAAGAAAAAGAGAAAAGATCCAAATAAACACAAATAGAACTGACAAAACAATGTTACGAACAATCCCACAGAAATAGAAAAGATCGTCAAAGACTATTATGAACACCTCTATACAAACAAGCTAGAAAACCTAGAAGAAATGGATAAATTCCTGGTAACACAAAATTTATCATATTTCAACCAGGAAGAAAGTGAAAACCTGAACAGACCAATAACAAGTTCAGAAATTTAATCAGTAATAAAAACCCTACTAACTAAAAATAGCCCAGGACCAGATGGATTCACAGCCAAAATCCAACAGCCATACAAAGAAGAACTGATACCGATCTTACTGAAACTTTTGGAAAAAATCAAGGAGTGGGGGCTTCTTCCTAACTCATTCTATGAAGCCATCATCACCATGATACCAACATCTGTCAGAGACATAATGAAAAAAAGAAAACTACAACTAAATATCCTTAATGAACATAGACATAAAATCCTCAACAAAATGCTAGCAAATTGAATCTGTCAGTGCATCAAAAGTTAATTCACATGATCAAGTAAGCTTTATTTTTGGGATGCAAGGTTGGTTCAACCTACAAAGTCAACGAATGTGATTCACCTCATAAACATAATTAAAAACAAAAACTATATGATCATCTCAATAGATGCAGAAAAAGCTTTCTGTAAAATCCAACATCCCTTCATGATAAAAACTGTCAATAGGCATCAAAGGAACATACCTCAAAATATTAAGAGCCATCTATGACAAACCCACAGCCAACATCATATTGATGGGCAAAAGCTGGAACCATACCCCTTGAGAACCGAAACAAGACCAGGATGACCACTCCCGCCATTTTAATTCAACATGGTACTGGAAGTCCTAGCCAAAGCAATCAGGCAAGAGAAGGAAATAAAAGGCATTAAAATTGGAAAAGAAGTAGTGATACTGTCTCTCTTTGCTGATGAAATAATTTTATACATAGAAAACCCTAAAGACTCTGTCAGAAGGCTCCTGAAACTGATAAACAAATTCAATAAAGTTTCGGGATTAAAAAAATGTACACAAATTAGTAACATTTCTATGCACCACTAACATTCTAGCTGAGAACTAAATCAAGAACACAATTCCATTTACACTAGCCACAAAGAAAATAAAATACCTAGGAATCCATCTAACCAAGAAGGTGAAAATTCTCTACAAGGAGAACTACAAAACACTTCTGAAAGAAATAAGAAATGATACAAACAAATGGAAGAATATTCCATGCTCATGAATTAGGAGAACAAATAGTTAAAATCGCCATACTTCCAAAAACAAATTGCAGACTCAATGCTATCCATTTCAAAATGCAATGTCATTTTTCACGAAATTATAAAAATTTATTCTAAAATGTATTTGGCACCAAAAAAAGAGCCTGAATACACATAGGAATCCTAAGCACAAAGAACAAAGCCCAGGCATCACATTACCCAACTTCAAACTATACTACAATGCTATAGTAACCCAAACAGCATGATACTACTACAAAAACAGACACATAGACCAATGAGACAGAATAGAGAACCCAGAAATGAGGCTACATACCTACAATCATCTTTGAAAAAATTGACAAAAACAAGCAATGTGGAAAGTACCCTTTCTTCAATAAATAGTTCTGGGATAACTGACTACTCATATGCAAAATAATAGAACTGGACCCCTAACTCTCACTATATACAAAAATTAACCCAAGATAGTTTAAAGATTTAAATGTAAAACCTCAAAATATTAAAATTCTAGAAGAAAACCTAGGAAATATCCTTCTCAAGATAGACTTTGGCAAAGAATTTATGGCTAACTCCCCAAAACCAATTGTGACAAAGACAGAAATTGGGACCTAACTCAACTGAAGAGCTTCTGCACAGCAAACGAAAGTATCAACAGAGTAAACAGATAACCTACAGACTGGGAGAAAATATTTGCAAACTATGCATCTGACAAAGTTCTAATATCCAGAATCTATAAGGAATGTAAACAAATCAACAAGCAGAAAACCAAAAAACCTCAATTAAGTATGACATGAACAGACACTTCTCAAAAGAAGATGTACACATGGCCAAAAAACATATGAACAAATGCTTATTATCAGTAATCATCAGAGAAATGCAAATTAAAACCACAGTGAGATACCATCTCACAACAATCAGAGAAGCAGAAGCAATTACTAAAAAGTTTTTTGTTTTTTTTAATAACAGATGCTGACAAGATTGTGGAGAAAAGGGAACACTTATACACTCTTGGTGGGAATGTTAACTAGTTCAGCCAATGTGATAAGCAGTTTGGAGACTTCTCAAATAACTTAAAATAGAACTACTATTCAATCAAGCAATCCCACTACTGGGTATATACCAAAAGGAAGGTAATTAACTATGTCAAAAAGACACATGCACTAGTATATTCATTGCTGTGCAATTCAGAATAGCAAAGATTTGCAGTCAACCTAAGTGCTCACCAACAGTGGATTAGTTAAAGAAAATGTGCTACATATACACATGGAACATTACATGGCCATAAAAAATAATGAAATCATGTCCTTTGCAGCAACATGAATGTAGCAGGAGGTCAATCTCCTAAGTGAACTAACCCAGGAACAGAAAACCAAATACCACATGTTATCACTTATAACTGAGAACCAAACATTGAATACACATGAACATAAAGATGGAAACAACAGATACCGAGGACTACAGATGGGGGGAGGAGTAGGGAGGTATAGGCTGAAGAAACACCTGTTGGATTCTATGCTCATTGCCTGGGTGATGGCATTGTTGGAACCACAAACCTCAGAGTCACACAATATGCCTATGTAACAAACCTGCATGCATACCTTTAATCTACAGTAAAGGTTGAAGTTATTTAAAAATAGGAAGAAGAATTACCCTATACCTAAAGCTAAGATTTTTCCCTTTGAATATTCGTTTCTTCATCACTGTAGATAAGCAGGGAAAGAAAAATTATTATACTATACTAGCCTTTTATGTGACCATGAGGATTTGGGGTAGGTAGGTGGACAGCTTAGATAATTCACCAGGATATTGATACAGGCTCCATGGCTGGAAATAACCAAGGATGAGTGCTGTGTTTTGAGTGGTCTCCCCCAGAAACGTTTGTTGAAATCCTAACCCCTGGTATGTATGAATGTGAATTCATATTATATAAAAAGGAATAAATAGCCTGAGCACAGTGGCTCACACCTGTAATCCCAGCACTTTGGGAGGCCAAAGCAGGTGGATCATTTGAGGTCAGGAGTTCTGGCCAATATGGCAAAACTTCATCTCTACAAAAAAAAAATACAAAAAAAAAAATTGGCTGGGTATGGTGGCGCATGCCTGTAGTCCCAGCTACTCAGGAGGCTGAGGCAGGAATTGCTGAAACCTGGAAGGCAGAGGTTGCAGTGAGCCAAGATCATGCCACTGCACTCCAGCCTGGGTGAGACGGCAAGATATTCTGTCAAAAATAAATAAATAAAAAACAGAAGAAGAAATACAAGAATGACAGCAAACTTTGTATTCAAAACTATGAAAGTAAGAAACAGGTGGACCAACATTTTTAAAGTGCTACAAGAAAATATTTCAAACTAGAATCTTTCAACCTGAAAAGGAAAACATTTTCCTGCAATAAAGGTGCCATTAAAAATGTCTCACAATTTATTACATGAAGCATTGTTCTACAATAAATGTTAAGCTCTTGAAGCAAAGATTAATGATACCATTTAGTAACTTGAAATTCAAAAAAGTGGAAGTATCCCAAGAGGCAAATACGTGTGCAATTATTAAATGTTTCATATCAACACCCAACCTTATGCTGTCTACATAAGCTGCACTTCAAATACTAATCCACAAGATGTAAATATTGAAAGAATGACATTACCTTGTCATGATAATGCCCAGTGCAAAATATGCTTCTAGTCAGTTGTATACATAGAATAGGTAAATGTTTGTAATAAAAAGTATTCCTCAATAGAAGTTTCTTAACTCAAAGAATGAAATATTTCACCATGCACATACAAAGAAGAGATATATGGAGATATGAAGAGGAGTACTTCATAATGACAAAGAGGCAAATTCATAAATAAGACATAATCATCCTAAATGCCTACACACTTAAAGCTGGAACCTCAAAACACATTAAATTAAAGGCATAATTCAAAACATAATCAATCACATCCAAATTGCAGCTAGAGATAGCAACATTCACCTCACTTCCAGAACAAGTACACAGAAAATTATTAAGCATATGAAAGACTTGAAAAACATTTGTGTAGGCGGCGGGTGCATAAGGTTGGGTGTTGATATGAAACATTTAATAATTTCAATAATCCTAGCACTTTGGGAGGCCAAAATGGGAGGATCACTTGAGGCCAGGAGTTTGAGACCAGCCTGGGCACCATAGTGAGACCCCGTCTCTATTTTTTTTAAATAAAGAAAAACATTTGAATGATTTTTTTCTTAACTGACATTTAGAAAACATCCACCTCAAATCTTCCTAATCCACAAACTTGTCTAGCACCCCTGGAACATTCACCAAAATAAATTTTTAAATGCTGAATCATAGGTAATATGATAGATGAAACAGTTGAATTAAATTATAAATGTACAACAAGGAAATGCTGGGGAAATTATCAAATATTTTAAAATTAATAAACACACATAGCAATAAACAATGAGTGGAAGAAAAACATTTCAAAGAAAGGTGGAAAATATTTTGTATCAATTAAAAATGAAAACACATCTCGGCAAATGACTGGGGATACAGATAGAACAGCGTTAAGGGACAATAAGCCTCAAATGTCTGTGTTAGAAAAGAAGGAAGAGCTGAGTAAATAGGTAACTTTCACTTGCAGAAATACTACACATCAGCAAATTAATTCCAAAGTAACGTCGAGGAAAAACATAAAATGGCAAGCAAATATATACGTGCATATGTACATACATTCATAAATGACAAACAGGACAGAAAAATCAGTGACATCAATTTTGTTCCTTAGAAGAAACAGGAAAATTGACCCCAAAAAACTTTCCAGGCCACATTTGGTCATGATGGAAATATTTTGGCACTTCCTGGTTAAGCTCAACACCAACTTGCACCCAAAACCAATAATTTCATTTCTAGGTAAATATGTCTAATTAATTCAGCATATGTATGCAAGGGATCACACAGAAACACGATTATCAAGGCCCGAGTTATAAAAGAGAAAATCCGGAAACAACACAAATGTCCATGATAAAAAGAATGGATAATTACATGTTGATAAAGTTATGCATGGACTATTAAACTGCAATCCAAAAGAATAAAATAGAGCTATAAAATTCAATATGTATATGGTGTCATAGAAACACAAATGTGAGAAAAAGAAAGAAAAATACAAAATTTATATTTTTTAAAATTTGAAACAACTATATATGTGAGTGCTTAGGGTGTGTGTGTGTGTGTGTGTGTGTGTGTATAACCATATGTATATAAATGCACACATACGCACACATATAGAATGTCCCGGCCAGGCATGGTGGCTCACACCTGTAATCTCAGCACTTTGGGAGGCTGAAGTAGACAGATCACTTGAGGTTAGGAGTTCAAGACCAGCCTGGCCAACATGGAGAAACCTCCTCTCTACTAAAAGTACAAAAATTAGGTGGGCGTGGTGGTGGGTGCCTGTAAATCCAGCTACTTAGGAGGCTGAGGCACGAGAATTGCGTGAACCTGGGAGGTGGAGGCTGCAATGAGCCGAGGTCTCACCACTGCATTCCAAACTGGGTGACGAAGTGAGATTGCATCTCAAAAAAAAAAAAAGTTCTAAAAGTTGTGACTTGGGTGTGGCAGATTGTGACATACTGCCAGCTGCTAGAAATGCTGGGGCAGGAGGATTGCTTGAACTCTGAAGTCAAAGAACAGCCTGGGGAAAATAGCACATGAAGAAGAGTTTGAATCTCAGATAAAAACAACAAAAATACATCAAAAGTCTTTAATGTAAGCCAAGCATTCAGTCATCTCCTGTATGAGAGATTGGATCTGAGACGTGTTTTGAGTTGGTTATAGTGAAGGATGCAAGGTGTCAATTCTAGTTGGAACAATTTCCAGGAAGCCATGTTCTGCTCTTGACCAAACAGCCACTGGGCCTCATGCAAGGTAGAAATAGCCTGCATACGTCATCCTCCCATGATGTGGTCAGCATGTAAACTGCATGAGCCCCTCACAACATCCTGTGTGCTGCTGAACTGAGCTGGGGCGCAGCCGCCTGTCTGCACCGGCAGCACCATGTCGCTCATGGTCGTCAGCATGGCGTGTGTTGGTGAGTCCTGGAAGGGAATCGAGGGAGGGAGCGGTGGGGTGGAGATCTGGGCCTGGAGTGGAGATATGGGCCTGGAGTGGAGATATGGGCCTGGAGTGGAGATATAGGCCTGGAGTGGAGATATGGGCCTGGGGTGGAGATATGGGCCTGGAGTGGAGATATGGGCCTGGAACTGTAGATATGGGCCTGAAGTAGAGATATGGGCCTGGAGTAGAGATATGGGCCTGGAACTGTAGATATGGGCCTGGAGTGGAGATATTGGCTTGGAGTGCAGATATGGACCTGGAATTGAGATACGGGCCTGGAGGTGGAGATATGGGCCTAGAGTGGAGATATGGGCCTGGAGGTGGAGATATGGGCCTGGAACTGTAGATATGGGCCTGGAGTAGAGATATGGGCCTGGAGTGGAGATGTTGGCTTGGAGTGCAGATATGGGCCTGGAATGGAGACACGGGCCTGGAGGTGGAGATACAGGCCTGGAGGTGGAGATATGGGCCTGGAGTGTAGATATGGGCCTGGAGTAGAGATATAGGACAGAGGTGGAGATATAGGCCTGGAGTGGAGATATGGGCCTGGAGTAGAGATATAGGACGGAAGTGGAGATATGGGCCTGGAGTGGAGATATGGGCCTGGAGGTGATGTACAGATGGATCATCCATCATGATCTTTCTTTCCAGGGTTCTTCTTGCTGGAGGGGCCCTGGCCACATGTGGGTGAGTCCTTCCCCCAAACCTTAGGTTGTCATCTCCCCACATAAGATGATGTTCCTGAAACGGGAGGCAGGCGACACAGGGGGTTGACTGATGGGCTGACCATGGGAAGCCATGTGGGAATCTCTCATGAACTAGGAAAAGGAAGCCAGGGGAAGCTTCGCCACAGTTCTGTCCTAGCCCTCCCCGGCCTTTCTTTCCCTTGGCTGAGTCTGTGGGGACCCAGGGGGAGACTGAAGTGCTCAAAGGAGTGGTGTGCAGGGAGGAAGTGGTGTCACCGGCAGAGGAAGGGAGAGAAGCAGTGCAAGGAACAACAGGCCTCTGAGGACAAGAGCATAACTCACACCCTCCAGCGTTTCCATGACGGTAGGGGCTGCAATGTGGCTGCTGTCATTCTACCTAAGAGGTGGGGGAACCACAGTCATGACCCTGACATTCCAGATCTTCTAATAGGGGCTCAGTTGTTTATTATGGTTCATGCATTAGCTGATCATGCCCTCCATCCTGTGTCTACCTTGTGTTCTTTTATGTAAGTAATTTTGCAGTGTTAAAATCTAGTAAGAGTCGCTTCTTCAGCACCTGCTCAAAGTTCTCAGCTGACACTTGCTGTAGGGAGACGCCATGTCTATGCGGGATGGGTCCTTCCTGTAGCCCTGGGCACCCAGGTGTGGTAGGAGCCTTAGAAACGTGGAAATGGGAGAATCTTCTGAGCACAGGGAGGGAGGGGCGGCTCCACATCCTCCTCTCTAAGGTAGTGCCTCCTTCTCCCCCAGGTGGTCAGGACAAGCCCTTCCTCTCTGCCTGGCCCGGCACTGTGGTGTCTGAAGGACAACATGTGACTCTTCAGTGTCGCTCTCGTCTTGGGTTTAACGAATTCAGTCTGTCCAAAGAAGACGGGATGCCTGTCCCTGAGCTCTACAACAGAATATTCCGGAACAGCTTTCTCATGGGCCCTGTGACCCCAGCACATGCAGGGACCTACAGATGTTGCAGTTCACACCCACACTCCCCCACTGGGTGGTCGGCACCCAGCAACCCTGTGGTGATCATGGTCACAGGTCAGAGGCTTTCTGTCTGGGCTTCTCACTGTCCCACCTCCTGAATCCCAGAGCTTCTGGTGGGGGTGTCCATCAGGGTCCAATCATCCAGGCCCAGACTGTATTTGGGGTAAAGGGGGATTCAGTACAGAGAAATAGTTGCTGTGGTGGGAAGAATAATTGTCCCCAGTGATGGCTACATGGTAATCCATGAACCCTGTGACTATTTATGTCATAGGGCAGGGGACTGAAGGGGAAGATGGAGCTCAGGTTGTTGATGGGTTGACCTTGCGATGGGGAGACAGCCTGGACTGTCCTGCTGTGCTCAGAGTAATCACAAGGGTCCTCATGAGAGGAGGAGGAAGAGGAAAGTGGGGTTAGAGCAACGTCGTGGGAGGGAGACTCCATCAGCCACAGCGGGCTTTGAAGATGGGGGAAGGCCATGAGCCACAAAGGCAGTTGGCCTCTAAGGGCTGGAGAAGTCAAGGGAACTGATTCTTCCCTGAGTCTCCAGAGGAAACACAGCCCTGTAGATGCCTTGATTTTAGCCCAGAGAGAACTGGGTCCGATTTCTGTTCTCCAGAAGTGGAAGGGGTCATTGTATTCTCTCTTGCCCCATGTTTGTGACAATTTTCTCCAGCAGCAACAGGAAACCAACACAGGAACCCAGGTGAAGCACAAGTTAAGAAACCAAACAAGGAGAAGGTTGGCTACACTGATTTTAGCATGGGTGGGATACTGATGCTACCACCAGGCTCGATCCACATAGGGAGGGGTTGATGCTCCTGGAACCAGCACCAGGGGCCACCCTATGGAAGCTGGGGCCATGGAGAAGGCACAGACATGACAGGAGAGGCTCCCAATCCCCATCAGGAACAGGGACACTGATGCCTGCCTTACTGATGAGTTCGTACCTCCTGCCAGCCTTTCCAATCTGTCCAAAAGAGATTGATTCAGGCTGCTAAGAGCCTGGACATGCAGCCTGTCGTGGTTCCTCTTCCACCCCCACATAAACACCAGGAAAGAGATTAGTGGGAAACAGATACAACAGCATAAGAGGTGACACTGAGCACAGTGGGAAGGGAATCAGGGCTACTAGAGACAGAGAGACAGGGAAGAGGGAGGGAGACAGATGGAGGGACCTGCAACAGGGGTTATGGGCACAAAAGAACACGGAGACACAGAGAGGAAGGAGAGAGATAGACACCATGGAGGGGAAGCCTCACTTATTTCAGGTCCCATGAATGGGATGAGAAAGGGAGACGCCTTCTGAACTCACAACCTCTCTTCTTAGGAGTCCACAGAAAACCTTCCCTCCTGGCCCACCCAGGTCCCCTGGTGAAATCGGGAGAGACGGTCATCCTGCAATGTTGGTCAGATGTCAGGTTTGAGCGCTTCCTTCTGCACAGAGAGGGGATCACTGAGGACCCCTTGCGCCTCATTGGACAGCTCCACGATGCGGGTTCCCAGGTCAACTATTCCATGGGTCCCATGACACCTGCCCTTGCAGGGACCTACAGATGCTTTGGTTCTGTCACTCACTTACCCTATGAGTTGTCGGCTCCCAGTGACCCTCTGGACATCGTGGTCGTAGGTGAGAGAATACAGACCTGCCTCTCACCCTTGCTGGGAGATGGAGTGAATGATCTAGGACTGGAAGCCCCAGGTGGTCATGAGGAAGATGAGTGTGGGGTTCCTATGGAGAGAAAGTGACTTGGTGAGGTCTGTACCAACAAAGGCAGAGAAACAGGAGACACAAGTACAGACCTCATGTCATAACATAGAAGCCAGACACAGGGGCCATACAAGGTGTTAGAAAAAGAGATAAAGAGGTAAAGAAGACACAGAGAGACAGATATATCCCAGAGAGAGGTGTCCTTCTATGCTGACTTTGTTCAGAGACCAGGCACAGGTTAGAAGGTTCCATTCTGTTTTACCTCTACAAAGTGTTCTCTCCCAGGAGAACCCAAAGAGACACATCTATCTGGCCTGAGTTGGGCCGTGTGGCCCCAGGCTGGTGGCACCTACAGATGCTGTGTTTATTCTTAAACCTCTGCCTTCCGTGCAGTGGAGCTGTCGTCGTCGCAGGACACCATGGCCCCAGGTGAGGGAGCAGAACACCAACCCCTGTATGTTGTGAGTTCCTGGAGTCCCCATACTGGATTCTGAGGCTCATATTCAAATAGCACCACATGTTATAGGATTACTGAGAACAAAAGCCCACAGAGAGACACGGAGTGAAATCAGGGAAATCAAAAAGCAAAGACATGAACACACACACAGAATGAGCCAGAAGAAGGGAATTGAGAGACTCACAGACACATAAAGAGATAGAAAAAGAGGGCAGAGAAGTGGAGCGTATGATGGAAGGAAGCAGAGAAAAGCCCTAAAATCAGAGCCCTGAGGGAGGGGCACAAAGACAGGGAAAGATAAAGATGTGGGGATGGATTGCAGAGACTCCAAAAGGGAACTAGAGAGACTGAGAGGCAGAGAAAGACAAGGAGATGGAGAGAGACAGATGATAGATGGATAGATAGATATAGATAGATGAAAGATAAAAGGTAGATGATAGATAATAGAGAGACAGGTGATAGACAAATAGATGATGAATGACTGATAGATGATATAGATAGACAAGTAGAAAGACAGACAGATGATATATAAATAGATATAGAGAGATAGAAAGATAAACACATGATGATAGATGGATAGATGCATACATACATACATTGATTGATAGATGATAGATAACAGAGAGATAGGTCATAGATACACAGATGATGATAGATGATAGATACATACATAGATAAATGATAGATCGATCAATAGATAGTAGATAGAAATATGCAGAAAGTTATGAGCAAGACAGAAAGTGAGAGACTCAGAATTAAAGAAAGAGGAAGATCAAGTCAACCAGTCCAAGGAGGGTCAGAGAGAATAAAATGGTACAAAAAAAGAAAACATAGCTAGGGATGGAGAAGTGAGGTCAGAGACCTAGAGAGACAGAGAAGGTGGAAGGAGGAAATAGACATGAAGAGAGATGGGGGTGGAGGGTGAGAGAGAGAAAGAGAGCATTAAGTCATAGAGCAGGGGAGTGAGTTCTCAGCTCAGGTGTGAGGAGAGCTGTGACAACGAAGAACCTCCCTGAGGAAACCACCTCTTCTCCTTCCAG
This sequence comes from Homo sapiens, assembly GCF_000001405.40. NCBI lineage: Eukaryota > Metazoa > Chordata > Mammalia > Primates > Hominidae > Homo > Homo sapiens. The sequence continues at coordinate 31,080 of NW_016107314.1, forward strand.
GTCTATATGGGAAACCTTCTCTCTCAGCCCAGCCGGGCCCCACGGTTCAGGCAGGAGAGAATGTGACCTTGTCCTGCAGCTCCCGGAGCTTGTTTGACATTTACCATCTATCCAGGGAGGCAGAGGCCGGTGAACTTAGGCTCACTGCGGTGCTGAGGGTCAATGGAACATTCCAGGCCAACTTCCCTCTGGGCCCTGTGACCCACGGAGGGAACTACAGATGCTTCGGCTCTTTCCGTGCCCTGCCCCACGCGTGGTCAGACCCGAGTGACCCACTGCCCGTTTCTGTCACAGGTGAGAAAACACCATGCCTGTCCCATGTCTTGTGATCCTAGAGCCATAGCTGAGGAGCTTCCTGCTGATGATGGAGAGAAGCATGGACAGATGCCGAGACAGAACACACAGCATGGGTGTAAGGGCGGGGTCAGGGGGCAGGATGGCAGACAGGGCACCTCCAAACCCTCCTGTATGGCCTGCAAGGAGGCCCTTGATCAGGGTTCCAGGCACCCAGGCAGATGGAGAAAGAGGTCAGAACAGACCCAGAGGAGGGAGACTGGGCTCTGCCTGGGGAGATCAGAGGTTCTCTCAGCCCCTCAACCTTACCCACTTCCCAGAAGCCCATCCTGGCCTGTCACCCACAGAGAGATGTCATCACCAGCAACGCCTACACCCTTTTCTTTTTGTTTGAAGAAATATTTATTGAGGTGAAATATACCTATGTAATTTACCACCTTTACCATTTTTAAGTGTGAAGTCTACTGTTCATAAATACATTTATAGGCTGGGCACGGTGGCTCACTGTTGTAATCCCAACACTTTGAGAGGCCAAGGCAGGTGGATCATTTGAGATCAGGGGCTCAAGACCACCCTGGCCAACATGGGGAAAATCCATCTGTACTAAAAATACAAAATAATAATAATAATGATAATAATTAGCCGAGCATGGTGGCACATGCCTGTAGTCCCAGCTACTTGGGAGGGTTGGGCAGGAGTTGCACTTAATTGCAGGAGGCGGAGGTTGCAGTGAGCTGAGATCATGCCACTGCACTGCAGCCTGGGCAACAGAGAGAGACACTCTCTCAAAATTAATTAATTAATTAATTAGTATTCTTTTTTTTTTACCCTCCACCCTTCCCTTCCTGGCCTCTGGTAGCCACCATTCTACTCTCTACCTTTGTGAGATCCACCTTTTAGCTCCTGCATATGAGTGAGAAATGGAAATACTTGTAATGACCTCCAGTTCCATTCATGTGGCTGTAAATGACAGGATGTTACTCTTTCTATGGATGAGTTGTCCCTATTGTGTGTGTGTACCACATTCTCTCCATCCATTCACCCACTGATGGGCAGGTAGGTTGATCCACATCTTGGCTACTGTGAACACTGCTGGAACAGTCATGGGAGTGCAGATGTCACTTCGATACGCTGATGTCCTTTCCTTTGGGTTTACACCCAGTCATGGAATTGCTAGATCCTCTGGAAGTGTCTTTTTACATTTTGTTTTATGGTTTTTGTTTTTGTTTTTGTTTTTTTTAGACAGTTTCACTCTTGTTGCCCAGGCTGGAGTGCAGTGGTGCCATCTGGGCTCACTGCAACCTCCACCTCCAGGATTCAAGAGATTCCCCAGCCTCAGCCTCCCAAGTAGCTGGGTTACTGGCTCCCACCACCACACTCGGCTAATTTTTATATTTTTAGTAGAGACAGAGTTTCGCTATATTGGCCAGGCTGCTCTTCAACTCCTGACCTCAAGTGACCTACCCACCTCGGCCTCCCAATGTGCTGGGATTACAGGCATGAACCACTGTGCCCGACCTCATTTTATTTTTTGAGGAACTTCCATACTCTTCTCCTCTGTAATGGCTGTACTAATTTGCATTCGTATCAGCAGTGTACCAGATGCAACCCTGGTTGACTCAGCAGAGCAAGAGACGTGCAGTAAGAGAGAATTTAGCTTATTTATGCACACGACACTTCCACTCACTCACTCGTTCAGCCAATGCCCCATGCTCTGGCTGTGCAGTGTGGAATCTTTTCCTATTGTTGCCATAACAAATTTCCACAAGCTTCGTGGATGAAAACATGTTTTTCTTAATTATCTCACAGTGCTGTAACTCAGAAGTATGAACTGCATTTCACTGGGCTGATATCAAAGGGACAGTAAGGCTGGATTTCTTTTTAAGGTTCCAAGCAAGAATCTGCTCCTTAACGTTTCCCAGCTCCTAGAGGCTCCCACGTTCCTGGGCCCCTGGTCCCCTTCCTCCTTCCTCCTTCCTCAAAGCCCACAAAGGCTGGTCACGTCTCACATGGCATCATTCAGACTCTTCTTCTTTACCCATACCTTTTTCTCTGAATCCTGCTCTGCCTTCTTCCTCATCTTTTAAGGACTTTGGGATTCTATTGGGGTCACCAAGATAATCCATCTCAATCTCCCTAAAATCATCCAGCGTACCCTCTTTTTAAGTTCAGCTGATTAGCAACCGTAATGCCATCTGCAATCTTCATTCCTCCTTTCCTGTAAAATAACATATTCACAAGCTATGGAGGCTAAGACAGGGACATTTTGGGGGTGGGGCAGCATTCTCCTGCCTTCCACAAATGGTAAACAGGATGCATTTGGCCTCTGCTCTTGGGACGCTGATATTGCAGATGGGTAAATGCGAGGGCAGAGAATGAATGCACAAGGGTACCAATAAATGAATGATCCATTGGGAAGCATCTGTGCACCAAATCTGGGGTTTTTTGTGTGTGTGTGTGTTTTTTGTTTTCTTTTTTTTTTTTGAGTAGAGTCTCTCTCTGTTCCACAGGCTGGAGTGCAGTAGCACAATCTCAGCTCATTGCAACCTCTGCCTCCTGGGTTCATGCAATTCTCCTGCCTCAGCCTACCGAGTAGCTGGGATTACAGCTGTGCGCCACCACACTCGGCTAATTTTTTTGGTATATTTTTTAGTAGAAATGAGGTTTCACCATGTTGTGCAGGCTGTCTCAAACTCCCAATCTCAAGTGATCCCACCGCCTTAGCGTCCCTAAGTGCAAAGATTACAGGCGAGAGCTACTGCGCCCAGCCAGGATTTAAAATAAGTAATAGATAATGCTGAGTATATAATTTCAGGTGACAGAGAAGGTCTCACTGATCAGATAATATTTGTGACCTTAATGGAAAAAATGGATTCAACCCTTGGAAGATTGGCGGAAGGATTTTCCACACTGAGCTCTCAGCCGTGAAGGCACAAAGGTGGAAACATTCTTAGTTCAAGGAAGAGGCTCTGCCTCAAATGCTGGGAATGAGATGGGGAGAATGACAAGACAACTGTAGAGAGATGGAGAGCACACTGGGTACACAGGAAACTAAGGAGGAACAAGGAGCATGTTTTTGATACTCACAGCCCTTGGATTCAACTCAGAGCTAACTAGGAATCCCTACCTGATTAACAGTGACCGACATGAAAATAAGGGAGGCCCAGGTGCGTAACTGGAATCTAGGAGACCGTGGAAAAGGCAATTCCCGCCCCACTGGTGAAACGTAGGGTTGATTTACACACTAAATGAATGAAAGATGGATATAAGCTATGCTTGTGAGGTAGAATCATTTGCAGGGAGGGCTTGCTGGGTTTGATTTTTCCTAGTAGTTTAATCCTTGTTTCATTAATTTCTTTCTGAGATGTGTTTTTTTTCTACATCTAAATCAATACCTGGCAGAGGAGCGATAGACACATGAGGGGTGGTGCAAATGAAGGGACCTAGTATAATATAATATACAAGACTGTGGATGGGGGCTCACACCTGTAACCCAACACTTTGGGAGGCCAAGGCGGGTAGATCACTTAAGGGTAGGAGTTTGAGACCAGCCTGGCCAACATGGTGAAACCCCGTCTGTACTAAAAATACAAAAATTAGCCTGGTGCATTGGCACCTGCCTGTAATCCCAGCGACTGGGGAGGCTGAAGCAGAAGAATGGCTTCAACCCTGGAGGCAGAGGTTGAACTGAGATCGCATCACTGCACTCCAGCCTGACACAGGGGGACTCTGTCTCAAAAAATAAAAATAAAACATACATAATTATGACACACAGAAATTACAAAGGCAACTGGATACCAACCATCATTTTTCTATTTCTCTGTGTTTAATTCTTTGACCCTTTATCTTATCCATTAAACAATCAGGTTAAACCTCTTCCTTATTTGGCTTTCTGTGAGCTTGGGATCATATGGAAAATGTGAAAGCCTCCTGAACCCACCAGCACAGGTCCTGGAATAGAGAACATGCTCTGTTCATGGCATAAAACTTGCCCCTTCACCCAAATCCCCCAATTCATCTCTACTTCCAATCACCTATGGAGATACAGATAGATCATGGGGAGGTAAACACTAATACTCTTTGGAGTGAGCTCAGATCTTGGACTCAGAGACCAGTGCCAGCACTAGCCCCTGGTCACATTTCGTACTAACTCACAGAAGGACAGGCTGTATTGAAACAATAAACGACGGAGAGGGCGGTCCTTCCCCGTGCTTCTCGGGTGGAATAGCAGCCTAATATATGTCTCAGCAGATCACAAAAAGTAGCATGTTGTTCCTGGGCTACATCATTATTTCATGGCTGTTTGATTTAAGTCAGTTCTACTTCACTTTTTTTATCTTGATTTCATTTTTTCTTTCTTTTCTTGGAGAATGTAATTTTTTTGAGTCAAGAGGGTTGTGGTGGTAGAAACTGTAAAGCACATTCGCTGTGTATCAATCCCAATCCAGTCTTCCCAGAGAAGACTCTAAACACCTCCTGGAATGTACCTGGGCCTATACCAATTCCTATCACTCACCGTCACTCCAGGGAGACAGAACACACAGAGAACACATTACACAGGCAGGTTCATTACTAACAGATAAGCAGCGAGTGACAACAGAAGCCTACATTTCAATGTGAGCCAGTCCCTCAAGGCTCAGAAAAGCTGCTCGAGACATGTGGAGTCACCCCATATGCAGTGTATCTGGGGGAAATCAAAAAGCAGCCCAGCCTGGGTTTTGTACCCTGGAGCCACAGGAAGCACTCAGCTAAAGCACTGCATGACGTCCTCCTCCAGGAAGAACAGGAAGACAGCCCAGGCTGTTCTGGGATGTTCCTCCTGATCTCAGGACTTTGCTGTCTTAGTCCATTTTTGTTGCTCTAAAGGAACACTTGAGCCTGGGTAACTTCTAAAGAAAAGAAATGTGTTTGCCTCACAGTTCTGCAGGCTGTACTGGAAGCATGGCACCAGCATCTATTTCTTGTGACGGCCTCAGGCTGCTCCCGCTCTGGCAGAAGGGAAGGAGGGTCTATCTGTGCAGAGACCACAGAGATCACACGGCAAGAGAGGGAGCAAGGGGGAGGGGGAGCGATGGAGCTTCCAAGTTCTTTTTAACAACCAGCTCTCCAGGAACTAATAGAGGGGGAACTTGCTAACCCCATCTCCTTGGGACAGCATTGATCTGTTCATGATGGATCCACCTCCATGACCCAAACACCTCCCAAGAGGCCCAACCTCCCACCCTGGGGGTTACATTTCAATGTGAGGTTTGAAGTGGTCAAACATCTAAACTAAAGCAGTTGTATCCTCAGCACGTTCTATGGTTACTACAACTGAGAAAGCAGGAGGAAGCTAGGTCTCCCGCCATCTGGGTGCTTGTCCTAAAGAGACGTTGTATGTGGTTACCTGTCAATCAAGAAATGTGAGACAATTCATATAGAGGAACTGCTATGATTAGCTTCTTATTGGTGTCTTGTCTTCCTCCAGGTAACTCCAGATACCTGCACGCTCTGATTGGGACCTCAGTGGTCATCATCCCCTTTGCTATCCTCCTCTTCTTTCTCCTTCATCGCTGGTGTGCCAACAAAAAGAGTAAGTCTCACGAAGCAGAAGCCAGAGAGCTCAGGGCCATGTGGGGAAGCAGGATGGGAGCACTCAGGTGTGTGTTCCTTACAGGCAGGATGGTCCCTGACCCAAGGCAGGAGCCACAGAGGCAGGACTTTCTAGAGAGAGCACCAGACTCCCTGCCCCTGCCTTCAGCTCACAGACCATTGCCTGATTCTGAACCATATCCTCACATCCCCTGCAGCCACTCACATCCAGGAGAAGGTTCCATGACAGGCAGAAAGTGGGAGACAGAATCAATGGGATGGGAACTCAGAGCTATTCATGGGATGGGTCCTTGAGCTCAGAGAGATAGAATGTCTGAGTCTGCTGTTGGCAACTGAGGGACCTCAGGCACCTATGGCCTCCCCCTGCATGTTGGTATCTGCTTATGAAATGAGGACCCAGAAGTGCCCTCCGAGCTGTTTTGACGACTTCCGTCTTCTACAGATGCTGTTGTAATGGACCAAGAGCCTGCAGGGAACAGAACAGTGAACAGGGAGGTAGGTGCTCCTCAGCCCAGCCTCATGGCTAGTCTTATTCCCAAAGAGTCCTGAAAAATGTGAGCACCCTCCCTCACTCAGCATTTCCCTCCCTCCAGGACTCTGATGAACAAGACCCTCAGGAGGTGACATACGCACAGTTGAATCACTGCGTTTTCACACAGAGAAAAATCACTCGCCCTTCTCAGAGGCCCAAGACACCCCCAACAGATACCAGCGTGTAACACGGAACTTCCAAATGCTGAGCGCAGATCCAAAGTTGTCTTCTGTCCACCAGCACCACAGTCAGGCCTTGATGGGATCTTCTAGGGAGACAATAGCCCTGTCTCAAAACCGGGTTGCCAGCTCCCATGTACCAGCAGCTGGAATCTGAAGGCGTGAGTCTGCATCTTAGGGCATCGCTCTTCCTCACACCACGAATCTGAACATGCCTCTCTCTTGCTTACAAATGTCTAAGGTCCCCACTGCCTGCTGGAGAGAAAACACACTCCTTTGCTTAGCCCACAATTCTCCATTTCACTTGACCCCTGCCCACCTCTCCAACCTAACTGGCTTACTTCCTAGTCTACTTGAGGCTGCGATCACACTGAGGAACTCACAATTCCAAACATATAAGAGGCTCCCTCTTAACACGGCACTTAGATACATGCTATTCCACCTTTCCTCATGTTGTTCCACCTTTCCTCAGAGTATCTTTCAGCCTTCTGTCAGCAGTAAAACTTATAAATTTTTTTTATAATTTCAATGTAGTTTTCTATTCTTCAAGTAAACATGTCTGCCCTCATGGTTTCGTCAATGGGACTCTTTTCTTGCCTAAGGCTTCCGGTGTTATCATTACCACGTCCACATAACCCCATCTGTTCTCCGCTGGGTTCTCACCCCTGGACTCTGAGCTTCTGGAAGCAGGGTGGAGCCTGAATTGTCTCTGAGACTCCAGTTTCCATCCAAAGATGCAGCACATAGGAGGTTCCAAGGATGGTGAATCAGATGAACAAGTGATATTCTTACTCTCTGCAGATCTGGAAAGCTGGCAGAGTCATTCCACGATGAAACATTTGTAGAGTCATAGGCCTTGTTAGTCTCATCTCCACAGGGACACGTATCAACACATCATCTTTCATACTACTATAAATAGACAGTCACTCCTCCATATCTCTGGGGTTTACACATGTTTATTGAATCAGCAATAAATCAAAAATATTTTGAGAAAAAAAATCCCCGAAGTTTCAAAAAGCAAAAAACTATGTTGAATCGACACAAATTGAGTGGCGTGTAGGCTGTGTCAGGAATTATAAGTAATCAAGAGATGATTTCATGTATACAGGAGGATGTGCATGGGTTCTATGCAATTGCTATGCTATTTTTTTTTTTGAGACAGTCTCACTCTCTCACCCAGGCTGGAGTGCAGTGGCGTGATCTCAACTCACTGCAACCTCCGCCTTCCAGGTTCAAGCGATTCTCTTCCCTCAGCCTCCTCAGTAGCCTCCCCTAGGATTACAGGCACGTGCCACCCTGCACAGATAAATTTTTTTGTGTGTGTATTTTTAGTAGAGACGGGGTTTCAGAATGTTGGACCAGCTGGTCTTGAACTCCTGACCTTGTGATCTACCCAGCTCAGCCTCCCAAAGTGCTGGGATTACGGGCGTGAGCCACGGTGCCCAGCTTCACTATGCCATTTCATGCAAGGGGCTTGAGCATCTGCAGATTTTGGTATCTGAATGGGGATCCTGGAACCAATCACCCAGGTATAGTGAAGGACCATGGTATATAATTTTTATTTGTCAATCTTAAAAATAAAGCATAAAAAATTTACAACAACAAGATAAAAAATAAGAAGTGTTTTTATAGTGTGAGGATAAGTTTAGATTTATTTTTTCCTACGTGTAACCCTATGGTCCTGTGTTATTTGTTGAGAAAATATTCTATTCCACCTTAAACTACATGGCAGCCTTTGTCAACTATAAAGGGACTGTGTATCCACAGATGTATTTTAGACACAGTTTTCTGTCCAGTGGTTCTCTGTATCCCCTCTCATGAGGATGCTGCATTTTATATAAACTTATAGAACCCCTTAAAATTTGGTAACCTGAGTCCTCTGATTTGTTATTATAGGTTATTTAGTTTGCTTTTTTTTTTTCTTGAGACAGACTCTTCCTCTGTCACCCAAGCTGGAGTTCAGTGGCTTGAGCTCAGCTCACTGCAACCTCCGCCTCCCAGGTTCAAGCTATTCTGATGCCTCTGGTTTAGTACTAGAAACTCAAGCAGGAAAATTAGAATGGCTTCTTGTCACAATTACTCTGATAATGTTAATAATACCTGTTAGACATTTTGCACATTACATATGAAGAAGAGTTTGAATCTCAGATAAAAACAAAAATACATCAAAAATCTTTAATGTAAGCACAGAATTCAATCATCTCGTGTATGAGAGGTTGGATCTGAGACGTCTTTTGAGTCTGGTCGTAGTGAAGGACGCAAGGTGTCAATTCTAGTGAGAACAATTTCCAGGAAGCCATGTTCCGCTCTTGAGCGAGCACCCACTGGGCCTCATGCAAGGTAGAAAGAGCCTGCGTACGTCACCCTCCCATGATGTGGTCAACATGTAAACTGCATGGGCAGGGCGCCAAATAACATCCTGTGCGCTGCTGAGCTGAGCTGGGGCGCGGCCGCCTGTCTGCACAGACAGCACCATGTCGCTCATGGTCGTCAGCATGGCGTGTGTTGGTGAGTCCTGGAAGGGAATCGAGGGAGGGAGTGCGGGGATGGAGATCGGGGCCCAGAGTTGGAGATATAGGCCTGGAAGTGGAGTTATGGGCCTAGAGATGGAGTGATGGGCCTAGAAGTGGAGATCTGGGCCTGGAGTGGAGATATGGGCCTGGAGGTTGAGATATGGGCCTGCAGTAGAGATATGGGCTTGTAGTGGAGACATGGGCCTGGAGATGGAGATATGGGCCTGGAGATGGAGATATGGGCCTGCAGTAGAGATATGGGCCTGGAGTGGAGATATGGGCCTGGAGTGGAGATATGGATCTGGAGGTGGAGATACGGGCCTGCAGTAGAGATATGGGCCTGGAGTGGAGATATGGGCCAGGAGTGGAGTTATGGGCCTAGAGGTGGATATCTGGGCCTGGAGTGGAGATATGGGCCTAGGAAGGAGATATGGGCCTGGGTGTGGAGATATGGGACTGGAGAGGTGATATGGGCCTGGAGTGGAGATATGGGCTTAGGGTGGAGATCTGGGCCTGGGGCAGAGATATGGGACTGGATTGGAGATATGGGCCTAGGGTGGAAATATCAGCCTGGAGTGGAGATATGGGCTTGTGGTGGGGATCTGGGCCTGGAAACTGGGTCTCTGCACAGCCGACAGCCCTGTTCTTGGGTGCAGGTAGGCACTGAGGGTGAGTTTAACTTCAGCCCAGGAAGGGCCTGGCTGCCAAGACTCACAGCCCAGTGGGGGCAGCAAGGGAGTCCTGGTTTGCCTGCAGATGGATGGTCCATCATGATCTTTCTTTCCAGGGTTCTTCTTGCTGCAGGGGGCCTGGCCACATGAGGGTGAGTCCTTCTCCAAACCTTCGGTTGTCATCTCCCCACATAAGAGGATTTTCCTGAAACAGGAGGGAAGTCCTGTCAGGGAGTCTCTCATAAACTGGGAAGAGAGGACCCTGGGGTGCTCGGCCCACATTTCTGACCTTGCCTCCCTGGCCTCTCAACCCCTTGGCAGAGTCAAGTTCTGTGGGGACCAGGGTTAGACTGGGGTGCTCAAAGCTGGGGTGTGTGGTGGGGAAGTGGTAGGAACAGCAGATCCTCTGAGGACAAAGGTGTTACTCACACACTTCAGCGTTTCCATGATGGTAGGGGCTGCAGTGTGGCTGCTGTCATTCTACCAGAAGAGGTGGGAAACCACAGCCATGGCCCTGACATTCCAAATCCTCTGATGGGGGCTCAGTTGTTTATTTTCGTTCAGGCATCCGCTGATATCCACTCACAAAGGACATGCCCTCCACCTCATGTCTACCCTGTGTTGTTTTATGTGAGTAATCTTACAGTATTAAAATCTAGTAGGAGTCTCTTTACTCAGCACTTGCTCAAAGTTCTCAGCTGAGGCTTTTGTTGTAGGGAGACACCATGTCTTTGCGGGATGGGTCCTTCCTTCAGCCCTGGGCACCAAGGTGTGATAGTAGCCATAGAAACGTGGAAAGCGAGGAGAATCTTCTGAGCACAGGGAGGGAGGGGCAGTTCCACATCCTCCTCTCTAAGGCGGCGCCTCCTTCTCCCCAAGGTGGTCAGGACAAGCCCTTGCTGTCTGCCTGGCCCAGCCTTGTGGTGCCTCTAGGACATGTCATTCTTCGGTGTCACTCTTATCTTGGGTTTAACAACTTCAGTCTGTACAAGGAAGGTGGGGTGCCTGTCCCTGAGCTCTACAACAGAATATTCTGGAACAGCCTTTTCATGGGCCCTGTGACCCCCGCACAACAGGGACATACAGATGTCGGGGTTCACACACACACTCCCCCAGTGGGTGGTCAGCACCCAGCAACCCCCTGGTGATCGTGGTCATAGGTCAGAGGGCTCCTGTCTTGGATTCTCCTTGTCCCACCTCCTGAATCCCAGAGCTTCTGGTGGGCATGTCCTTGAGGGTCCCATCACGCAGGCCCTGACTGTATTTGTGGTAAAGGGGGATTGAATACAGGGAAATGGGTGCTGTGGTGGGAAGAATAATTGTCCCCAGTGATGACTACATTCTAATCCCTGGAGTCTGTGACTATGTATGTTATAGGGGAAGGGACTGAAGGGGAAGATGGAGCTCATGGGGAGACAGCCTGGACTGTCCCACTGGGCTCAGTGTAATCACAAGGGTGCACATGAAAGGAGGAGGAAGAGGGGAGTGGGGATTAGAGCAGTCCAGTGGAAGTCTTCACCAGCTTTGAAGGTGGAGGAAGGCCAAGAGCCATGAATGCAGGTGGCCTATAGAGGCTGGAAAAGTCAAGGAACTGATTCTCCAGAGTCTCCAGAGGAAACGAAGCCCTGCAGATGCCTTGATTTTAGCCCAGGAAAAATAGGGTCCAATTTCTGTCTCCAGTACTGGAAGGTGTCAGTGTGGTCTCTCCTGCTTCCATGCTTCTGATAATTTTGTACAGCAGCAACAGGAAACCAACACTGGAACCCAGGTCAAGGACAAGTTAAGAAACAACCCAAGGAAAGCCAGGCATGGTGGCAGGCGCATGTAATCCTAGCGACTCAGGAGGCTGAGGGCAGGAGAATCACTTGAACCCAGGAAACAGAGGTTGCAGTGAGCCTAGACCACACCACTTCACTCCAGCCTGGGTGAAGGAGTGAGACTCTGTCTCCAAAATTAATTAATTAATTAAAGAAACCAAACAAGGAGAAGGTTGGCTACCCTGAGATCAGCAAGGGTGGGATGATGATGCCACCACCAGGCTCCATCCACATAGGGAGGGGTTGATACTCCTCCAACCAGCACCAGGAGCCAGCCTATGGAAGCTGGCACCATGGAGAAGGCACAGGCATGGCAAGAGTGGCTCCCAGTCCCGACCAGGAACAGGGTGTGTGGACACTGGTGCCTGCCTTATTCATCAGTTCATACCTTCTGCCAAGGATTGCAATTCATCCAAAAGAGATTGAACAAGGCTGATAAGAGCCTGGATGTGCAGCCTATCCTGGTTCCTCTTTCACCCCCACATAAACAGCAGGAAAGACGTTAGTGTGAAATAGATACAACACCCCAAGAGATGAGGCTAAGCCCAGTGGGAAGGGAATCAGAGGCTACTAGAGACAGAGGGACAGAGAAGAGGGAGGGAGACAGATGGAAGGACCTGCACCAGGAGTTATGGGCACAGAAAAGAACATGAAGACACAGAGAGGAAGGAGAGAGACAGACACCAGCAAGGGGAAGCCTCACTCATTCTAGGTGCCATGGATGGGATGATAAAGAGAGACACCTTCTAAACTCACAACCTCTCTTCTTAGGAGTCCACAGAAAACCTTCCCTCCTGGCCCACCCAGGTCCCCTGGTGAAATCAGAAGAGACAGTCATCCTGCAATGTTGGTCAGATGTCAGGTTTGAGCACTTCCTTCTGCACAGAGAGGGGAAGTATAAGGACACTTTGCACCTCATTGGAGAGCACCATGATGGGGTCTCCAAGGCCAACTTCTCCATCGGTCCCATGATGCAAGACCTTGCAGGGACCTACAGATGCTACGGTTCTGTTACTCACTCCCCCTATCAGTTGTCAGCTCCCAGTGACCCTCTGGACATCGTCATCACAGGTGAGAGTGTCCGGACATTCTCATTGTCATTGGGCTGCAGAGTGAATGATCCACGACTTGGAACCCCCAGGTAGTTGTAAGGAAGATGAGCTTGGTATTCTTATGGAGAGAGACTGACTTGCTGAGGTTTGTACCAACAGAGACAGAGAAACAGGAGACACAAGTACAGACCAGGTGTCATAACGGAGGACAGACACAGGGGCCATACAGGGAGTTAGAAAAGACAGAAAGAGTTAAAGGAGACAGACAGACAGACATGTCCCAGAGAGAGGTGTCCCTCCATGCTGACTTTGCTCACAGACCTGGCACAGGATAGAAGTTTCATTTCTGTTTTACCTCCACAAAGTGTTCTCTACCAGGAGAACCCAAGGACACCCATATTTCTGACCTGAGTTGGGCCCTGTGGCCTCAGGCCTTGTGGCACCTACAGGCCATGTTTATTCTGACACCTCTGCCTTCCATGTAATGGAGAGTAACCGTCCCAGGATATCATGGCCCCAGAACACCAACCCCTGTATGCTGTGTGAACTTGTGGTCTCCAGACTGGATTCTGAGGCTCACATTCCAAATAACCCCACATATGAAAGGATCACTGAGAGGCACAGAGAGAAATCAGGAACACCAAAAAGCAAAGACATAAACACACAGAGAATGGGCCAGAGGAAGGAGATTGAGAGACTCACTGACACATAAAGAGAGAGAAAAGAGGGCAGAGGAGTGGTGAGAATGATGGAAGGGAGCAGAGAAAAGCACTAAAATTAGAGTCCTGAGGGAGAGGCACAAGGACATAGAAAGATGGAGATGTGGGGATGAACTGCAGAGATTCCAAAGAGAACTAGAGAGACCGAGAGGCAGAGCAAGACAGATGATAGATGGATAGATATAGATAGATGATAAATAGGTAGATGATAGATAATAGGTTAAAGATACATAGATGATGATTGATTGATTCATTAATAGATAATACATAGAGATGATGATGATGAAGACAGATAGATAATACGTACAGATAGAGAGGCAGACAGAAATCATAGAGAGAGAGATGATACATACATATAAATAACAGATGATTGATGGATAGATAGACAACTGATAGATACATAGATGATATATAGATATAGATGACAGGTAGAGAATTTGTAGATAGGCACCGAATAGATAAATAGATAGATCGACAGATAATAGATAGAAATATGCAGAAAGTTATGAACAGGACACAACGTGAGAAACTTAGAATTTAAAAAAGTAACATCAAGTCAACCAATCCAAGGAGAGTCAGAGAGAATAAAAGAATCCAAAAAGGGAAAACATATCTAGAGGTGGGGAAGCGAGGTCAGAGACCTAGAGAGACAGAGAAGGTGGAAGGAGGAAATAGACATGAAGAGAGATGGGGTGGAGGGTGAGAGAGAGAGAGAGAGAGCATTAGGTCATAGAGCAGGGGAGTGAGTTCTCAGCTCAGGTGAAGGGAGCTGTGACAAGGAAGATCCTCCCTGAGGAAAATGCCTCTTCTCCTTCCAGGTCTATATGAGAAACCTTCTCTCTCAGCCCAGCCGGGCCCCACGGTTTTGGCAGGAGAGAGCGTGACCTTGTCCTGCAGCTCCCGGAGCTCCTATGACATGTACCATCTATCCAGGGAGGGGGAGGCCCATGAACGTAGGTTCTCTGCAGGGCCCAAGGTCAACGGAACATTCCAGGCCGACTTTCCTCTGGGCCCTGCCACCCACGGAGGAACCTACAGATGCTTCGGCTCTTTCCGTGACTCTCCCTATGAGTGGTCAAACTCGAGTGACCCACTGCTTGTTTCTGTCACAGGTGAGGAAACCCCATATCTGTCTCATGTCCTATGATCCTAGAGCCTTAGCTGAGGAGCTTCCTGCTGATGATGGAGAGAAGCATGGACAGATGCAGAGAGAAGACGAAGCTTGGGTGTGAGGGAGGGATCAGGGCACAGGATGGCAGACAGGGCACCTCCAAACCCTCCTACACGGCCTGCATGAAGGCCCGCGGCCAGGGCTCCAGGCACACAGGCAGATGGAGAAAACGGTCAGGAGAGACCCAGAGGAGAGAGACTGGGCTCAGTTTGGGAAGATCAGAGGTTCCCTCAGCCCCTCAACATTATCCATTTCCCAGAAGCCCATCCTGGCCTCTCACCCACACAGGGATGTCATCACCAGCAACCCCTACACCCTTTACTTTTGTTTGAAGAAATATTTATTGAGGATAAATATACCTATATAGCTTACCACCTTTAACATTTTTTTTTTTTTTGAGGCAGAGTCTAGCTCTGTCCCCTATGCTGGAGTGCAGTGGCACAATCTCAGCTCACTGCAATTTCCGCCTCCTGGGTTCAAGCGATTCTCTTGCCTCAGCCACCTGAGTAGCTGGTGCTACAGGCGCGCACCACCACGCCAGGCTACTTTTTGTATTTTTAGTAGAGAGGTGGTTTCACCATGTTGGTCGAGCTGGTCTCCAACTCCTGACCACGTGATCCACCCGCATGTGCCTCCCAAAGTGCTGGGATTACAGGCATGAGCCACCACGCCCAGCCACATTTACCATTTTTAAGTGTAAAGTCTAGTGGTCATAAATACATTTATATATATATATATTTTTTTTTTTTTTTTACCCTCCACCCTTTTCTTCCTGGCCTCTGGAAGCCATCATTCTACTCTCTACCTTCATGAGATCCACCTTTTAGCTCTGTATATGGGTGAGAAATGGGAATCTTTGTAATGACTTCCAGTTCCATCCATGTGGCTGCAAATATCAGGATGTTATTCTTTCTATGGATGAGTAGTCTCCACTGTGCGTATGTACTACATTCTCTCTATCCATTCATCCACTGATGGGCAGGTAGGTTGACTCCACATCTTGGCTACTGTGAACAGTGCTGCACCAATCATACGAGTGCAGATATCACTTCGATATATTGATTTACTTTCCTTTGGATATAAACCCAGTAGTGAAATTGCTGGATACTATGAAAGTTCTCTTTTTAGTTTTTCGTTTGTTGTTTTGTTTTTGTTTTTGAGACAGTTTCCCTCTGTGCCCAGGCTGGAGTACAAGTGATGTCATCTTGGCTCATTGCAACCTCTGCCTCCTGGGTTCAAATGATTTTCCTGCCTCAGCCTCCCTAGTAGCTGGGATTACAGGTGCACGCCACCATGCCTGGCTACTTTTTGTTTTTTTTAGTATAGATGGGGTTTCCCCATGTTGGCTGGGCTGCTCTCAAACTCATGACCTCAACTGAGATGCCCGCCTCAGTCTCCCAAAGTGCCGGGATTACAGGCCTGATCCACCACACCCAACCTCTTTTTAGTTCTTTAAAGGACTTCCATACTTTTCTCCGTAATCGCTGTACTAATTTACACTCCTCCCAACAGGGTACCAGGGTTCTCCTTTCTCTACCACCTTGCCAGCATTTCTTTTGCCTGTCTTGCAGCTAAAAGCCATTTTATTTTATTTCATTTTATTTTGAGATGGAGTTTTGCTCTTCTCACCCAGGCAGGAGTGCAGTGGCGCTATCTCGGCTCACCACAACCTCCACCTCCCAGGTTCAAGCGATTCTCCTGCCTCAGCCTCCCGAGTAGCTGGAATTACAGGCACACTCCACCACGCCCGACTAATTTTTGTATTTTTAGTAGAGACAGTGTTTCTCTATGTGGGTCAGACTGGTCTCAAACTCCTGACCTTATGAGATTCACCCACCTCAGGCTCTCAAAGTTCTAGGATGACAGACGTGAGCCACCACGCCCGGCCTAAAAGCCATTTTAATGGGGTGAGATGAAAACTCACTTTGATTTTAATTTGCGTTTCTCTGATGATGAGTGATACTGAGCACTTTTTAGTATGTGGGGAAATTTCATGTCTTCTGCTCCTTTTTCAATTAAATCATTTGTTTTATTGAGTTGTTTGAGCTTCTTATATTTCTAGTTATTAATCCCATCTCAGATGCATAGTTTGCACATATTTGCTCCCAATCTGTGGGTTGTCTCTTCACTTTGTTGGTTTATTTTTAGCAGTGCAGAAGTTGCTTAGTTTGAGGTAATCCCAATGGTCTATTTTTGCTTCGATTACTTGTGTTTTCAAGGTTTAAAACAAAATGTCTTTCTTCAGACAAATGTCCTGGAGCATTTCCCCAATATTTTGTTCTACGTGTTTCATAGGTTCAGGCCTTAGACTCACATCTTTAATCCATTTTCATTTGATTTTTGTGTATGGTGACAGGTAGAGGTGCAGTTTCATTCCTCTGCATGTCGATGTCCAGGTTTCCCTGCACTGTTTATTGAAAAGACTGTCCTTTCCTGATTGTGAGTTCTTGGCACCTTTGTCAAAGTCCATTGGATGGGCTGGGCTTGGTGGCTGACACCTGCAATTTCAGCACTTTGGGAGGCCGAGGCGGGTGGATTACCTGAGGCCAGGAGTTCAAGATCAGTCTGGACGACGTGATGAAACATCGTCTCCACTAAAAATATAAAAATTAGCTGAGCATGGTGGTCAGCACCTGTAATACCACTACTCAGGAGTTTGAGGCAAGAGAATGATTGAACCCAGGAGGCTGAGGTTGCAGTGAACTGAGATTGCACCTCTGCACTCCAGCCTGAGTGACAGAGCAAGACTCCATCTCAAAAGAAAAAATAAAAAACCATTGGATGTAAATGCATGGAATATATCTGTGTTATTCATTCTGCTCCGTTGTTCTATGTCCCTTTCTTTATGCCAATGTCATGCTGTTTTGCTTACTACAGCTCTGTAACATATTTTGAGATCAGGTAGTGTGATGCTCCTGTTTTCTCTTTATACCTTGAAGTCTCAAGACAGTGGGCGTCACATAAAAAAATTATGGAAAAAAGGATCCCAGGACTCCCAGGGCCCAATATTAGATAACAGAGTGTTGGCCATGAACCATCCTCAAAGATTTCCACTGAGTAGAGGACAGACACCCTCATTTCCTCACCTCTCTCCTGTCTCATGTTCTAGGAAACCCTTCAAATAGTTGGCCTTCACCCACTGAACCAAGCTCCAAAACCGGTGAGTACAGAACCCTCTTATATCCGCTTTTGGAAACCTGGGGAGGTGGAAACCTTGGATTCAGGCGTTGACTCAGCATCTCACAGCTCTGACATTGTACCCCTGTCTTCCACCATCTCCGAACTCCAGATACTCCTACAGCGAAAGGGATCTGGGTCCAACACAGGGCTCAGTGAAATCTCTTCATCTCTCATTTTATGGAGCTGAGACTTCCTACAAGCTAGAAGAATGATTGCCAATCTGACATCCTTCTCAGGAAAAATGCAATGTTTGTTCTGCCTGCATTCCTAACTGGAGGATAAATTCCTGGAGACTTGAGAGAGGGAAGGGAAGGGAACATCTGATGAGGGCGAGGTGTTTTAGAGAAGTTCCACTTGCCAAGGAATGAGCTCCTATAGGTCATGAAGCAACCCTGGCTGACTCAGCAGAGAAAGAGCCTTGCTGTAACAGAGAACAGAGCTCATGCACGCACACTTCGACTCACTGACTCATTCAGCCACGGCCCCATGCTCAGGCTGTGCACTGTGGAAGCTTTTCCTATTGTTGCCATAACAAATTTCCACAAGATTCGTGGGTGAAAACAAAACGGTTTTTTAATTATCTTACAGTGCTGTAGCTCAAAGTATGAAGTGCATCTCACTGGGCTAAAATCAAGGTGACAGCAAGGCTGCCTTCCCTCTGAGGATTCCAGGCAAGAATCTGCTTCTCACTTTTCTCAGCTTCTAGAGGCTCCCACATTCCTTCGCTCCTGGTCCCCTTCCTCCTTCCTCAAAGCCCACAAAGACTGGTCACATCTCACATGGCATCACTCAGACCCTTCTTCCTTACCACACCTCTTTCTCTGAATGCTGCTCTCCCTTCTTCCTCATCTTTTGAAAACTTGGGGATTCTATTGGGTTCACCAAGATGAAAATCCATCATAATCTCCCGGAAATCATTCAGGATACCCTTGTTTTAAGTTCAGCTGATTAGCAACCATAATTCCATCTGCAATCTTCATTCCTCCTTTCCATGTAAAATAAGATATTCACAAGCTATGGAGGCTAGGACAGGGACATTTTGGGGTGGGACAGCATTCTCCTGCCTTCCACAAACAGTGAACAAGATGCATTTGGCCTCTGCTCTTTGGACACTGATATTGCAGATGGTTAAATGGGAGGGCAGAAAATGAATGCACAAGTGGACCAATAAATGAATGATCCATTGGGAAGCATCTGTGTATGAAATCTATTTGTTTGTTTCTTCATTTGTTTATTGAGACAGAGTCTCCCTCTGTCTTCCAGGCTACAGTGCAGTGTCACCATCTTGGCTCACTGCAACCTGCACCTTCTGGATCCAAGTGATTCTCCTGCGTCAGCCTCTCAAGTAGCTGGGATTACAGGCAACTGCCACCATGCCCGGCTAATTCTTTTTGTATATTTTTTGTAGAGGATGTTTCACCATCTTCGCCAAGCTTCTCTGAAACTCCCAACCTCAAGTGATCCGACCGTCTCAGCATCCTAAAGTACTGGGATAACTGGCGTGAGCCACTGTGCCCAGCCAGAATTTAAAATAAATAATACATAATGCTGAGTGTATGATTTTGGGTGACAGAGAAGATCTCACTAATCAGATATTTGTGACATTAATGAAAAACACGGATTGAACCCCTGAAAGATTGGCGGAAGGATTTTCCACACACAGCTGTCAGCCGTGAAGGCAGAAAGCTGAAAACAATCTGATGTGGAAGGAAGAGGCTCTGCCTCAAATGCTGGGAATGAGGTGGGGAGAATGACAAGACGACTGTGGAGAGACGGAGAGCACACTGGGTACACAGGAAACTAAGGAGCAACAAGGAGTGTGTGTTTGACACTCACAGCCATTGGATTCACCTCGGGGTAGCCAGGAATCCCTACATGATTAATAGTGACTGACATGAAAATAAGGGAGGCCCAGGTGCGTAACTGGAATCTAGGAGACTGTGGAAAAGGCAATTCCCGCCCCACTGGTGAAATGTGGTGCTGATTTAGACCCTAACTGGGTGAAGCAGATGGATATAAGCTATGCTTGTGAGGTGGAATCATTGGCTGGAAAGGCTTGCTGGGTATGATTTTCCTAGTTGTCTAATCCTCGCTTAATTTCTTTCTGAGCTTTATTCCTACTACACATAAATCAATACCTGGCAAAGGAGTGACAGATATATGAGGGGTGGTGGAAATGAAGGGACCTATTATAGCATAATATACAAGTCTGTGAACGGTGGCTCACGCCTGTAACCCAGCACTGCAGGAGGCCAAGGCGGGTGGATCACATGAAGTCAGCAGTTCGAGACCAGCCTGGCCAACATGGTGAAACCCTGTCTCTAGGAAAAACACAAAAATTAGCCGAGCATGGTGGTGCATCCCTGTAATCCCAGCTCCTACTCTGGAGGATGAAGCAGGAGAATGACTTCAACCCAGGAGGTGGAGGTTGCAGTGAGTGGAGATTGCATCACTGCACTCCAGCCTGGGTGACACAAGGAGACTCCGTCTCAAAAAATAAAAATAAGAAATGCATAAATATAAATATAATATAACACATGCAAATGAGAAAGGGACCTGAATTCCAATCATGATTTTTCTATTTCTCTATAATTACTTCTTTGATCCTTTATCTTATCCATTAGGCAATGAGCCTAAAACCTCTTCCCTATTTGGCTTTCTGTGAGCATGAGATCATATAGAAAATGTGAAAGCCCGCTGAATCCTCCAGCACAGATCCTGGAATACACAAAGTGCTCTGTTCATCACAAGAAAACATGCCCTCTCACCCAAATCCCCCACCTCACCCCTACTTCCAATCATCTGTGGAGATTCAGATAGGCCATGGGGAGGTAAATTCTAATACTCCTTGGAGTGAGTCCAGATCTTGGAATCAGAGATTAGCGTCAGCAGTAGCTCCTGCTCCCCTTTCCTACTAATTCACAGGAGGACAGGTGGTATTGAAGCAATAGATGGCCGAGGGGGTGGTCCTTCCCCCAGCCTCTCGGGTAGAACAGCAACCTAACATGTGTCTCCTGAGATCACAAAGAGTAGCACGTTTCACATGGGCTTCAACACTGTTTCCTGGCCATTTGACATAAGAGAATTCTACTTCGCTTTTTTTATCTTGATTTCACTTTTGTTTCCTTTTCTTGGAGAATGCAAGTTGTTTGACTCAAGAATGCCGTGGATGTAGAAATCCTAAAGCACAGTCGCTGTGTATCAATCCCAGTGCAGTCTTCCCAGAGAAGACTCTAAACACCTCCTGGACTGCACCTGGGCCTATGCCAATTCCTATCACTCACCGTCACTCCAGGGAGACAGAACACACAGAGAATACATTACACAGGCAGGTTCATTACTAACAGATAAGCAGCGAGTGACAACAGAAGCCTACATTTCAATGTGAGCCAGTCCCTCAAGGCTCAGAAAAGCTGCTCGGGACATATGGAGTCACCCCATTTGCAGTGTAGCTGGGGGAAGCCAGAAAGCAGCCCAGCCTGGGTTTTGTACCCTGGAGCCACAGGAAGCACTCAGCTAAAGCACTGCATGACGCCTTCCTCCAGGAAGAACAGGAAGACAGCCCAGGCTGTTCTGAGACATTCCTCCTGATCTCAGGTCGTTGCTGTCTTAGTTTTTTTTTTTGTTGCTCTGAAGGAACACTTGAGCCTCGGTAACTTCTAAAGAAAAGAGATCGGTTTGCCTCACAGTTCTGCAGGCTGTACTGGAAGCATGGCACCAGAATCTATTTCTCGTGATGGCCTCAGGCTGCTCCCACTCTGGCAGAAGGGAAGGAGGGTCTGTCTGTGCAGAGACCACAGAGATCACACGGCAAGAGAGAGAGTAAGGGGGAGAGGGAGCAATGGAGCTTCCAAGCTCTTTTTAACAACCAGCTGTCCAGGAACTAACAGAGGGGGAACTTGCTAACCCCGTCTCCTTGGGACAGCATTGATCTGTTCATGATGGATCCACCTCCATGACCCAAACACCTCTGAAGAGGCCCAACCTCCCACAATGGGGGTGAAATTTCAATGTGAGGTTTGAAGGGGTCAAACATCTCAACTAAAGTAGTTGTATCCTCAGCACGTTCTATGGTTACTATGAGAGCTATAATTGAGAAAGCAGGGGAAAGCTAGGTCTCCCGCCATTTGGGTGCTTGTCCTAAAGAGACGTTGTATGTGGTTACCTGCCAATCAAGAAATGCGAGACAATTCATAAAGAGGAACTGCTATGATTAGCTTCTTATTGGTGTCTCCTCTTCTTCCAGGTAACCCCAGACACCTGCATGTTCTGATTGGGACCTCAGTGGTCAAAATCCCTTTCACCATCCTCCTCTTCTTTCTCCTTCATCGCTGGTGCTCCAACAAAAAAAGTAAGTCTCACGAAGCAGAGGCCAGAGAGCTCAGGGCCATGTGGGGAAGCAGGATGGGAGCACTCAGGTGTGTGTTCCTCACCAGCAGGATGGTCCCTGGCCCAAGACAGGAGCCACAGAGGCAGGACTTTCTAGAGAGAGCACCAGATTCCCTTCCCCTGCCTTCAGCTCACAGACCGTTGCCTGATTCTGAACTGTACCCTCACGTCCCCTGCAGCCACTCACATCCAGGAGAAGGTTCCATGACAGGCAGAAAGTGGGAGATAGAATCAATGGGATGGGAACTCAGAGCTATTCATGGGATGGGTCCTTGAACTCAGAGAGATAGAATGTCTGAGTCTGCTGTTGGCAACTGAGGGACCTCAGGCACCTATGGCCTCCCCCTGTTTGTTGGTATCTGCTTATGAAATGAGGACCCAGAAGTGCCCTCCGAGCTCTTTTGTTGACTTCCGTCTTCTACAGATGCTGCTGTAATGGACCAAGAGCCTGCAGGGAACAGAACAGTGAACAGCGAGGTAGGTGCTCCTCGGCCCAGCCTCGTGGCTAGTCTTATTCCCAAAGAGTCCTGAAAAATGTGAGCACCCTCCCTCACTCAGCATTTCCCTCTCTCCAGGATTCTGATGAACAAGACCATCAGGAGGTGTCATACGCATAATTGGATCACTGTGTTTTCACACAGAGAGAAATCACTCGCCCTTCTGAGAGGCCCAAGACACCCCCAACAGATACCAGCATGTACATAGAACTTCCAAATGCTGAGCCCAGATCCAAAGTTGTCTTCTGTCCACGAGCACCACAGTCAGGCCTTGAGGGGATCTTCTAGGGAGACAACAGCCCTGTCTCAAAACCGGGTTGCCAGCTCCCATGTACCAGCAGCTGGAATCTGAAGGCATCAGTCTTCATCTTAGGGCATCGCTCTTCCTCACACCACGAATCTGAACATGCCTCTCTCTTGCTTACAAATGTCTAAGGTCCCCACTGCCTGCTGGAGAGAAAACACACTCCTTTGCTTAGCCCACAATTCTCCATTTCACTTGACCCCTGCCCACCTCTCCAACCTAACTAGCTTACTTCCTAGTCTACCTGAGGCTGCAATCACACTGAGGAACTCACAATTCCAAACATACAAGAGGCTCCCTCTTAACACAGCACTTAGACACGTGCTGTTCCACCTCCCTTCAGACTATCTTTCAGCCTTCTGCCAGCAGTAAAACTTATAAATTTTTTAAATAATTTCAATGTAGTTTTCCCGCCTTCAAATAAACATGTCTGCCCTCATGGTTTCGGTAACGAGACTCTTCTCTTGCCTAAGGCTTCCGGTGTTATCATTACCATGTCCACATAACCCCATCTGTTCTCCATTGGGTTCTCAGCCCTGGACTCTGAGCTTCTGGAAGCAGAATGGAGCCTGAATTGTCTCTGAGACTCCAATTTCCATCCAAAGATACAGCACATAGGAGGCTCCAAGGATCGTGAATCACATGAACAAGTGATATTCTTACTCTCTGCAGACCTGGAAAGCTGGCAGAGTCATTCCACGATGAAACATTTGTAGAGTCATAGGCCTTGTTAGTCTCATCTCCACGGGGACACATATCAACATATCATCTTTCATAATATAAATATACAGTCGGTCCTCCATATCTGTGGGGTTTACAGGTGTTTATTGAACCAACAATAAATCAAAAATATTTTGAGAAAAAAATCCCCGAAGTTTCAAAAAGCAAAAAACTATGTTGAATCGACACAAATTGAGTGGCGTGTAGGCTGTGTCAGGAATTATAAGTAATCAAGAGATGATTTCATGTATACAGGAGGATGTGCATGGGTTCTATGCAATTGCTATGCTATTTTTTTTTTTTGAGACAGTCTCACTCTCTCACCCAGGCTGGAGTGCAGTGGCGTGATCTCAACTCACTGCAACCTCCGCCTCCCAGGTTCAAGCGATTGTCTTCCCTCAGCCTCCCCAGTAGCCTCCCCTAGGATTACAGGCACGTGCCACCATGCACAGATAAATTTTTTTGTGTGTGTATTTTTAGTAGAGACGGGGTTTCAGAATGTTGGACCAGCTGGTCTTGAACTCCTGACCTTGTGATCTACCCAGCTCAGCCTCCCAAAGTGCTGGGATTACGGGCGTGAGCCACGGTGCCCAGCTTCACTATGCCATTTCATGCAAGGGGCTTGAGCATCTGCAGATTTTGGTATCTGAATGGGGATCCTGGAACCAATCACCCAGGTATAGTGAAGGACCATGGTATATAATTTTTATTTGTCAATCTTAAAAATAAAGCATAAAAAATTTACAACAACAAGATAAAAAATAAGAAGTGTTTTTATAGTGTGAGGATAAGTTTAGATTTATTTTTTCCTACGTGTAACCCTATGGTCCTGTGTTATTTGTTGAGAAAATATTCTATTCCACCTTAAACTACATGGCAGCCTTTGTCAACTATAAAGGGACTGTGTATCCACAGATGTATTTTAGACACAGTTTTCTGTCCAGTGGTTCTCTGTATCCCCTCTCATGAGGATGCTGCATTTTATATAAACTTATAGAACCCCTTAAAATTTGGTAACCTGAGTCCTCTGATTTGTTATTATAGGTTATTTAGTTTGCTTTTTTTTTTTTCTTGAGACAGACTCTTCCTCTGTCACCCAAGCTGGAGTTCAGTGGCTTGAGCTCAGCTCACTGCAACCTCCGCCTCCCAGGTTCAAGCTATTCTGATGCCTCTGGTTTAGTACTAGAAACTCAAGCAGGAAAATTAGAATGGCTTCTTGTCACAATTACTCTGATAATGTTAATAATACCTGTTAGACATTTTGCACATTACATATGAAGAAGAGTTTGAATCTCAGATAAAAACAAAAATACATCAAAAATCTTTAATGTAAGCACAGAATTCAATCATCTCGTGTATGAGAGGTTGGATCTGAGACGTCTTTTGAGTCTGGTCGTAGTGAAGGACGCAAGGTGTCAATTCTAGTGAGAACAATTTCCAGGAAGCCATGTTCCGCTCTTGAGCGAGCACCCACTGGGCCTCATGCAAGGTAGAAAGAGCCTGCGTACGTCACCCTCCCATGATGTGGTCAACATGTAAACTGCATGGGCAGGGCGCCAAATAACATCCTGTGCGCTGCTGAGCTGAGCTGGGGCGCGGCCGCCTGTCTGCACAGACAGCACCATGTCGCTCATGGTCGTCAGCATGGCGTGTGTTGGTGAGTCCTGGAAGGGAATCGAGGGAGGGAGTGCGGGGATGGAGATCGGGGCCCAGAGTTGGAGATATAGGCCTGGAAGTGGAGTTATGGGCCTAGAGATGGAGTGATGGGCCTAGAAGTGGAGATCTGGGCCTGGAGTGGAGATATGGGCCTGGAGGTTGAGATATGGGCCTGCAGTAGAGATATGGGCTTGTAGTGGAGACATGGGCCTGGAGATGGAGATATGGGCCTGGAGATGGAGATATGGGCCTGCAGTAGAGATAGGGGCCTGGAGTGGAGATATGGGCCTGGAGTGGAGATATGGGCCTGAAGTGGAGATATGGGCCTGGAGGTGGAGATATGGGCCTGGAGGTGGAGATATGGGCCTGGAGTGGAGATATGGGTCTGGAGGTGGAGATACGGGCCTGCAGTAGAGATATGGGCCTGGAGTGGAGATATGGGCCAGGAGTGGAGTTATGGGCCTAGAGGTGGATATCTGGGCCTGGAGTGGAGATATGGGCCTAGGAAGGAGATATGGGCCTGGGTGTGGAGATATGGGACTGGAGAGGTGATATGGGCCTGGAGTGGAGATATGGGCTTAGGGTGGAGTTCTGGGCCTGGGGCGGAGATATGGGACTGGATTGGAGATAGGGGCCTAGGGTGGAGATCTGAGCCTGGATTGGCGATATGGGCCTAGGGTGGAAATATCAGCCTGGAGTGGAGATATGGGCTTGGGGTGGGGATATGGGCCTGGAAACTGGGTCTCTGCACAGCCGACAGCCCTGTTCTTGGGTGCAGGTAGGCACTGAGGGTGAGTTTAACTTCAGCCCAGGAAGGGCCTGGCTGCCAAGACTCACAGCCCAGTGGGGGCAGCAAGGGAGGGCTGGTTCGCCTGCAGATGGATCGTCCATCATGATCTTTCTTTCCAGGGTTCTTCTTGCTGCAGGGGGCCTGGCCACATGAGGGTGAGTCCTTCTCCAAACCTTCGGGTGTCATCTCCCCACATAAGAGGATTTTCCTGAAACAGGAGGGAAGTCCTGTCGGGGAGTCTCTCATAAACTAGGAAGAGAGGACCCTGGGGTGCTCAGCCCACATTTCTGACCTCGCCTCCCTGGCCTCTCAACCCCTTGGCAGAGTCAAGTTCTGTGGGGACCAGGGTTAGACTGGGGTGCTCAAAGCTGGGGTGTGTGGTTGGGAAGTGGTAGGAACAGCAGATCCTCTGAGGACAAAGGTGTTACTCACACACTTCAGCGTTTCCATGATGGTAGGGGCTGCAGTGTGGCTGCTGTCATTCTACCAGAAGAGGTGGGAAACCACAGCCATGGCCCTGACATTCCAAATCCTCTGATGGGGGCTCAGTTGTTTATTTTCGTTCAGGCATCCGCTGATATCCATTCACAAAGGACATGCCCTCCACCTCATGTCTACCCTGTGTTGTTTTATGTGAGTAATCTTACAGTATCAAAATCTAGTAGGAGTCTCTTTACTCAGCACTTGCTCAAAGTTCTCAGCTGAGGCTTTTGTTGTAGGGAGACACCATGTCTTTGCGGGATGGGTCCTTCCTTCAGCCCTGGGCACCAAGGTGTGATAGTAGCCATAGAAACGTGGAAAGCGAGGAGAATCTTCTGAGCACAGGGAGGGAGGGGCAGTTCCACATCCTCCTCTCTAAGGCGGCGCCTCCTTCTCCCCAAGGTGGTCAGGACAAGCCCTTGCTGTCTGCCTGGCCCAGCCTTGTGGTGCCTCTAGGACATGTCATTCTTCGGTGTCACTCTTATCTTGGGTTTAACAACTTCAGTCTGTACAAGGAAGGTGGGGTGCCTGTCCCTGAGCTCTACAACAGAATATTCTGGAACAGCCTTTTCATGGGCCCTGTGACCCCCGCACAACAGGGACATACAGATGTCGGGGTTCACACACACACTCCCCCAGTGGGTGGTCAGCACCCAGCAACCCCCTGGTGATCGTGGTCATAGGTCAGAGGGCTCCTGTCTTGGATTCTCCTTGTCCCACCTCCTGAATCCCAGAGCTTCTGGTGGGCATGTCCTTGAGGGTCCCATCACGCAGGCCCTGACTGTATTTGTGGTAAAGGGGGATTGAATACAGGGAAATGGGTGCTGTGGTGGGAAGAATAATTGTCCCCAGTGATGACTACATTCTAATCCCTGGAGTCTGTGACTATGTATGTTATAGGGGAAGGGACTGAAGGGGAAGATGGAGCTCATGGGGAGACAGCCTGGACTGTCCCACTGGGCTCAGTGTAATCACAAGGGTGCACATGAAAGGAGGAGGAAGAGGGGAGTGGGGATTAGAGCAGTCCAGTGGAAGTCTTCACCAGCTTTGAAGGTGGAGGAAGGCCAAGAGCCATGAATGCAGGTGGCCTATAGAGGCTGGAAAAGTCAAGGAACTGATTCTCCAGAGTCTCCAGAGGGAACAAAGCCCTGCAGATGCCTTGATTTTAGCCCAGGAAAAATAGGGTCCAATTTCTGTCTCCAGTACTGGAAGGTGTCAGTGTGGTCTCTCCTGCTTCCATGCTTCTGATAATTTTGTACAGCAGCAACAGGAAACCAACACTGGAACCCAGGTCAAGGACAAGTTAAGAAACAACCCAAGGAAAGCCAGGCATGGTGGCAGGTGCATGTAATCCTAGCGACTCAGGAGGCTGAGGGCAGGAGAATCACTTGAACCCAGGAAACAGAGGTTGCAGTGAGCCTAGACCACACCACTTCACTCCAGCCTGGGTGAAGGAGTGAGACTCTGTCTCCAAAATTAATTAATTAATTAAAGAAACCAAAGAAGGAGAAGGTTGGCTACCCTGAGATCAGCAAGGGTGGGATGATGATGCCACCACCAGGCTCCATCCACATAGGGAGGGGTTGATACTCCTCCAACCAGCACCAGGAGCCAGCCTATGGAAGCTGGCACCATGGAGAAGGCACAGGCATGGCAAGAGTGGCTCCCAGTCCCCACCAGGAACAGGGTGTGTGGACACTGGTGCCTGCCTTATTCATCAGTTCATATCTTCTGCCAAGGATTGCAATTCATCCAAAAGAGATTGAACCAGGCTGATAAGAGCCTGGATGTGCAGCCTATCCTGGTTCCTCTTTCACCCCCACATAAACAGCAGGAAAGACATTAGTGTGAAATAGATACAACACCCCAAGAGATGAGGCTAAGCCCAGTGGGAAGGGAATCAGAGGCTACTAGAGACAGAGGGACAGAGAAGAGGGAGGGAGACAGATGGAAGGACCTGCACCAGGAGTTAAGGGCACAGAAAAGAACATGAAGACACAGAGAGGAAGGAGAGAGACAGACACCAGCAAGGGGAAGCCTCACTCATTCTAGGTGCCATGGATGGGATGATAAAGAGAGACACCTTCTAAACTCACAACCTCTCTTCCTAGGAGTCCACAGAAAACCTTCCCTCCTGGCCCACCCAGGTCGCCTGGTGAAATCAGAAGAGACAGTCATCCTGCAATGTTGGTCAGATGTCAGGTTTGAGCACTTCCTTCTGCACAGAGAAGGGAAGTTTAAGGACACTTTGCACCTCATTGGAGAGCACCATGATGGGGTCTCCAAAGCCAACTTCTCCATCGGTCCCATGATGCAAGACCTTGCAGGGACCTACAGATGCTACGGTTCTGTTACTCACTCCCCCTATCAGTTGTCAGCTCCCAGTGACCCTCTGGACATCGTCATCACAGGTGAGAGTGTCCGGACATTCTCATTGTCATTGGGCTGCAGAGTGAATGATCCACGACTTGGAACCCCCAGGTAGTTGTAAGGAAGATGAGCTTGGTATTCTTATGGAGAGAGACTGACTTGCTGAGGTTTGTACCAACAGAGACAGAGAAACAGGAGACACAAGTACAGACCAGGTGTCATAACGGAGGACAGACACAGGGGCCATACAGGGAGTTAGAAAAGACAGAAAGAGTTAAAAGAGACAGACAGACAGACATGTCCCAGAGAGAGGTGTCCCTCCATGCTGACTTTGCTCACAGACCTGGCACAGGTTAGAAGTTTCATTTCTGTTTTACCTCCACAAAGTGTTCTCTACCAGGAGAACCCAAGGACACCCATATTTCTGACCTGAGTTGGGCCCTGTGGCCTCAGGCCTTGTGGCACCTACAGGCCATGTTTATTCTGACACCTCTGCCTTCCATGTAATGGAGAGTAACCGTCCCAGGATATCATGGCCCCAGAACACCAACCCCTGTATGCTGTGTGAACTTGTGGTCTCCAGACTGGATTCTGAGGCTCACATTCCAAATAACCCCACATATGAAAGGATCACTGAGAGGCACAGAGAAAAATCAGGAACACCAAAAAGCAAAGACATAAACACACGGAGAATGAGCCAGAGGAAGGAGATTGAGAGACTCACAGACACATAAAGAGAGAGAAAAGAGGGCAGAGGAGTGGTGAGAATGATGGCAGGGAGCAGAGAAAAGCACTAAAATTAGAGTCCTGAGAGAGAGGCACAAGGACATAGAAACATGGAGATGTGGGGATGAATTGCAGAGATTCCAAAGAGAGCTAGAGAGACCGAGAGGCAGAGCAATACAGATGATAGATGGATAGATATAGATAGATGATAAATAGGTAGATGATAGATAATAGGTTAAAGATACATAGATGATGATTGATTGATTCATTAATAGATAATACATAGAGATGATGATGATGAAGACAGATAATACGTACAGATAGAGAGGCAGACAGAAATCATAGAGAGAGAGATGATACATACATATAAATAACAGATGATTGATGGATAGATAGACAACTGATAGATACATAGATGATATATAGATATAGATGACAGGTAGAGAATTTGTAGATAGGCACCGAATAGATAAATAGATAGATCGACAGATAATAGATAGAAATATGCAGAAAGTTATGAACAGGACACAACGTGAGAAACTTAGAATTTAAAAAAGTAACATCAAGTCAACCAATCCAAGGAGAGTCAGAGAGAATAAAACAATCCAAAAACGGAAAACATATCTAGAGGTGGGGAAGCGAGGTCAGAGACCTAGAGAGACAGAGAAGGTGGAAGAAGGAAATAGACATGAAGAGAGATGGGGTGGAGGGTGAGAGAGAGAGAGAGAGAGCATTAGGTCATAGAGCAGGGGAGTGAGTTCTCAGCTCAGGTGAAGGGAGCTGTGACAAGGAAGATCCTCCCTGAGGAAAATGCCTCTTCTCCTTCCAGGTCTATATGAGAAACCTTCTCTCTCAGCCCAGCCGGGCCCCACGGTTCTGGCAGGAGAGAGCGTGACCTTGTCCTGCAGCTCCCGGAGCTCCTATGACATGTACCATCTATCCAGGGAGGGGGAGGCCCATGAATGTAGGTTCTCTGCAGGGCCCAAGGTCAACGGAACATTCCAGGCCGACTTTCCTCTGGGCCCTGCCACCCACGGAGGAACCTACAGATGCTTCGGCTCTTTCCGTGACTCTCCATACGAGTGGTCAAACTCGAGTGACCCACTGCTTGTTTCTGTCACAGGTGAGGAAACCCCATATCTGTCTCATGTCCTATGATCCTAGAGCCTTAGCTGAGGAGCTTCCTGCTGATGATGGAGATAAGCATGGACAGATGCAGAGAGAAGACGAAGCTTGGGTGTGAGGGAGGGATCAGGGCACAGGATGGCAGACAGGGCACCTCCAAACCCTCCTACACGGCCTGCATGAAGGCCCGCGGCCAGGGCTCCAGGCACACAGGCAGATGGAGAAAGCGGTCAGGAGAGACCCAGAGGAGGGAGACTGGGCTCAGTTTGGGAAGATCAGAGGTTCCCTCAGCCCCTCAACATTACCCATTTCCCAGAAGCCCATCCTGGCCTCTCACCCACACAGGGATGTCATCACCAGC
Source organism: Homo sapiens (assembly GCF_000001405.40). NCBI lineage: Eukaryota > Metazoa > Chordata > Mammalia > Primates > Hominidae > Homo > Homo sapiens. The sequence continues at coordinate 62,218 of NW_016107314.1, forward strand.
AACCCCTACACCCTTTACTTTTGTTTGAAGAAATATTTATTGAGGATAAATATACCTATATAGCTTACCACCTTTAACATTTTTTTTTTTTTTGAGGCAGAGTCTAGCTCTGTCCCCTATGCTGCAGTGCAGTGGCACAATCTCAGCTCACTGCAACTTCCGCCTCCTGGGTTCAAGTGATTCTCCTGCCTCAGCCACCTGAGTAGCTGGTGCTACAGGCGCGCACCACCACGCCAGGCTACTTTTTGTATTTTTAGTAGAGAGGTGGTTTCACCATGTTGGTCGAGCTGGTCTCCAACTCCTGACCACGTGATCCACCCGCATCTGCCTCCCAAAGTGCTGGGATTACAGGCATGAGCCACCACTCCCAGCCACATTTACCATTTTTAAGTGTAAAGTCTAGTGGTCATAAATACATTTATAAATATATATATATATATATATGTATGTATATATATATACACACACATATATATACATATATATATGTGNNTATATATATATATATATATATATATATATATATATATATTTTTTTTTTTTTTTTTACCCTCCACCCTTTTCTTCCTGGCCTCTGGAAGCCACCATTCTACTCTCTACCTTCATGAGATCCACCTTTTAGCTCTGTATATGGGTGAGAAATGGGAATCTTTGTAATGACTTCCAGTTCCATCCATGTGGCTGCAAATATCAGGATGTTATTCTTTCTATGGATGAGTAGTCTCCACTGTGCGTATGTACTACATTCTCTCTATCCATTCATCCACTGATGGGCAGGTAGGTTGACTCCACATCTTGGCTACTGTGAACAGTGCTGCACCAATCATACGAGTGCAGATATCACTTCGATATATTGATTTACTTTCCTTTGGATATAAACCCAGTAGTGAAATTGCTGGATACTATGAAAGTTCTCTTTTTAGTTATTCGTTTGTTGTTTTGTTTTTGTTTTTGAGACAGTTTCCCTCTGTGCCCAGGCTGGAGTACAAGTGATGTCATCTTGGCTCATTGCAACCTCTGCCTCCTGGGTTCAAATGATTTTCCTACCTCAGCCTCCCTAGTAGCTGGGATTACAGGTGCACGCCACCATGCCTGGCTACTTTTTGGTTTTTTTAGTATAGATGGGGTTTCCCCATGTTGGCTGGGCTGCTCTCAAACTCATGACCTCAACTGAGGTGTCCGCCTCGGTCTCCCAAAGTGCCGGGATTACAGGCATGATCCACCTCACCCAACCTCTTTTTAGTTCTTTAAAGGACTTCCACACTTTTCTCCGTAAAGGCTGTACTAATTTACACTCCTACCAACAGGGTATTAGGGTTCTCCTTTCTCTACCACTTTGGCAGGATTTCCTTTGCCTGTCTTGCAGCTAAAAGCCATTTTACTTTATTTCATTTTATTTTGAGATGGAGTTTCGCTCTTGTCACCCAGGCTGGAGTGCAGTGGTGCGATCTCGGCTCACCACAACCTCCACCTCCCAGGTTCAAGCGATTCTCCTGCCTCAGCCTCCCGAGTAGCTGGAATTACAGGCACACGCCACCACGCCCGACTAATTTTTGTATTTTTAGTAGAGACAGTGTTTCTCCATGTGGGTCAGACTGGTCTCAAACTCCCGACCTTATGAGATTCACCCACCTCAGGCTCTCAAAGATCTAGGATGACAGACGTGAGCCACCACGCCCGGCCTAAAAGCCATTTTAATGGGGTGAGATGAAAACTCACTTTGATTTTAATTTGCGTTTCTCTGATGATGAGTGATACTGAGCAGTTTTTCGTATGTGGGGAAATTTCATGTCTTTTGCTCCTGTTTCAATTAAATCATTTGTTTTATTGAGTTGTTTGAGCTTCTTATATTTCTAGTTATTAATCCCATCTCAGATGCATAGTTTGCACATATTTGCTCCCAATCTGTGGGTTGTCTCTTCACTTTGTTGGTTTATTTTTAGCGGTGCAGAAGTTGCTTAGCTTGAGGTAATCCCAATGGTCTATTTTTGCTTCGATTACTTGTGTTTTGAAGGTTTAAAACAAAATGTCTTCCTTCAGACAAATGTCCTGGAGCATTTCCCCAATATTTTCTTCTACGTGTTTCATAGGTTCAGGCCTTAGACTCACATCTTTAATCCATTTTCATTTGATTTTTGTGTATGGTGACAGGTAGAGGTGCAGTTTCATTCCTCTGCATGTAGATGTCCAGGTTTCCCTGCACTGTTTATTGAAAAGACTGTCCTTTCCTGATTGTGAGTTCTTGGCACCTTTGTCAAAGTCCATTGGATGGGCTGGGCATGGTGACTGACACCTGCAATTTCAGCACTTTGGGAGCCCAAGGCGGGTGGATCACCTGAGGCCAGGAGTTCAAGATTAGTCTGGCCGACGTGATGAAACATTGTCTCCACTAAAAATATATAAATTAGCTGAGCATGGTGGTCAGCACCTATAATACCACTACTCAGGAGTTTGAGGCCAGAGAATTGATTGAACCCAGGAGGCTGTGGTGGCAGTGAACCGAGATTGCACCTCTGCACTCCAGCCTGGGTGACAGAGCGAGACTCCATCTCAAAAGAAAAAAGAAAAAAACATTGGATGTAAATGCATGGATTATATTTGTGTTGTTCATTCTGCTCCATTGTTCTATGTGCCTTTCTTCATGCCAACATCATGCTGTCTTGCTTACTACAGCTCTGTAACATATTTTGAGATCAGGTAGTGTGATGCTCCTGTTTTCTCTTTATACCTTGAAGTCTCAAGACAATGGGCGTCACATACAAAAATTATGGAAAAAAGGATCCCAGGACTCCCAGGGCCCAATATTAGATAACAGAGTGTTGGCCATGAACCAACCTCAAAGATTTCCATTGAGTAGAGGACAGACACCCTCATTTCCTCACCTCTCTCCTGTCTCATGTTCTAGGAAACCCTTCAAATAGTTGGCCTTCACCCACTGAACCAAGCTCTAAAACCGGTGAGTACAGAACCCTCTTATATCCGCTTTTGGAAACCTGGGGAGGTAGAAACCTTCGATGCAGGCATTGACTCAGCATCTCGCAGCTCTGACATTGTACGCCTGTCTTCTACCATCTCCGAACTCCAGATACTCCAACAGCGAAAGGGATCTGGGCCCAACCTAGGGCTCAGTGAAATCTCTTAATCTCTCATTTTATGGAGCTGAGACCTCCTACAAGCTAGAAGAATGATTGCCAATCTGACATCCTTCTCAGGAAAAATGCAATGTTTGTTCTGCCTGCATTCCTAACTGGAGGATAAATTCCTGGGGGCTTGAGAGAGGGAAGGGAAGGGAACATCTGATGAGGGCGAGGTGTTTTAGAGAAGTTCCACTTGCCAAGGAATGAATTACTGTTGGTCATGAAGCAACCCTGGCTGACTCAGCAGAGCAACAGCCTTGCCGTAACAGAGAACGGAGCTCATGCACGCACACTTCGACTCACTGACTCATTCAGCCACGGCCCCATGCTCAGGCTGTGCAGTGCGGAACCTTTTCCTATTGTTGCCATAACAAATTTCCACAAGATTCGTGGGTGAAAACAAAACGGTTTTTTAATTATCTTACAGTGCTGTAGCTCAAAGTAGGAAGTGCATCTTACTGGGCTAAAATCAAGGTGACAGCAAGGCTGCCTTCCCTCTGAGGATTCCAGGCAAGAATCTGCTTCTCACTTGTCCCAGCTTCTAAAGGCTCCCAGTTCCTTGGCTCCTGGTCCCCTTCCTCCTTCCTCAAAACCCACAAAGACTGGTCACATCTCACATGGCATCACTCAGTGCCTTCTTCCTTACCACACCTCTTTCTCTGAATGCTGCTCTCCCTTCTTCCTTATCTTTTGAAAACTTGGGGATTCTATTGGGTTCACCAAGATGAAAATCCCTCATAATCTCCTGGAAATCATCCAGGATACCCTTGTTTTAAGTTCAGCTGATTAGCAACCGTAATTCCATCTACAATCTTCATTCCTCCTTTCCATGTAAAATAACATATTCACAAGGTATGGAGGCTAGGACAGGGACATTTTGGGGTGGGACAGCATTCTCCTGCCTTCCACAAACAGTGAACAAGATGCATTTGGCCTCTGCCCTTGGGACACTGATATTGCAGATGGTTAAATGGGAGGGCAGAAAATGAATGCACAAGTGGATCTATAAATGAATGATCCATTGGGAAGCATCTGTGCATGAAATCTATTTTTTGTTTGTTCTTTTGTTTATTGAGACAGAGTTGCCCTCTGTCTTCCAGGCTACAGTGCAGTGTCACGATCTTGGCTCACTGCAACCTGCTTCTCCTGGATTCAAGTGATTCTCCTGCCTCCGCCTCTCGAGTAGCTGGGATTACAGGCAACTGCCACCGTGCCCGGCTAATTCTTTTTGTATATTTTTTGTAGAGAGGATGTTTCACCACGTTGGCCAAGCTTGTCTGAAACTCCCAACCTCAAGTGATCCGACCGTCTCAGCATGCCAAAGTAATGGGACTACAGGCGTGAGCCACTGTGCCCAGCCAGAATTCAAAATCAATAATAGATAATGCTGAGTGTATGATTTCAGGTGACAAAGAAGGTCTCACTATTCAGATATTTGTGACATTAATGAAAAACACGGATTGAACCCCTGAAAGATTGGCGGAAGGATTTTGCACACACAGCTGTCAGCCGTGAAGGCACAAAGGTGAAAACAATCTGATGTGGAAGGAAGAGGCTCTTCCTCAAATGCTGGGAATGATGTGGGGAGAATGACAAGATGACTGTGGAGAGACGGAGAGCACACTGGGTACACAGGAAACTAAGGAGGAACAAGGAGTGTGTGTTTGACACTCACAGCCATTGGATTCACCTCGGGGTAGCCAGGAATCCCTACATGATTAATATGACTGACATGAAAATAAGGGAGGCTCAGTTGCATAACTGGAATCTAGGAGACCGTGGAAAAGGCAATTGCCGCCCCACTGGTGAAATGTGGTGCTGATTTAGACACTAAATGAATGAAGTAGATGGATATAAGATAGGTTTGTGAGGTAGAATCATTGACTGGAAAGGCTTGCTGGGTTTGATTTTCCTACTTGTTTAATCCTCGCTTAATTAATTTCTTTCTGAGATTTATTCATCCTACACATAAATCAATACCTGGCAAAGGAGTGACAGATATATGAGGGGTGGTGGAAATGAAGAGACCTATTATAGCATAATATACAAGTCTGTGAACGGTGGCTCACGCCTGTAACCCAGCACTGCAGGAGGCCAAGGCGGGTGGATCACATGAAGTCAGCAGTTCGAGACCAGCCTGGCCAACATGGTGAAACCCTGTCTCTAGGAAAAACACAAAAATTAGCCGAGCATGGTGGTGCATCCCTGTAATCCCAGCTCCTACTCTGGAGGATGAAGCAGGAGAATGACTTCAACCCAGGAGGTGGAGGTTGCAGTGAGTGGAGGTTGCATCACTGCACTCCAGCCTGGGTGGCACAAGGAGACTCCGTCTCAAAAAATAAAAATAAGAAATGCATAAATATAAATATAATATAACACACGCAAATGACAAAGGGACCTGAATTCCAATCATGATTTTTCTATTTCTCTATAATTACTTCTTTGATCCTTTATCTTATCCATTAGGCAATGAGCCTAAAACCTCTTCCCTATTTGGCTTTCTGTGAGCATGAGATCATATAGAAAATGTGAAAGTCCGCTGAATCCTCCAGCACAGATCCTGGAATAGAGAAAGTGCTCTGGTCATCACAAAAAAAACTTGCCCACTCACCCAAATCCCCCACCTCACCCCTACTTCCAATCACCTGTGGAGATTCAGGTAGACCATGGGGAGGTAAACATTAACACTCCTTGGAGTGAGTCCAGATCTTGGAATCAGAGATCAGCGACAGCACTAGCTCCTGCTCCCCTTTCCTACTAATTCACAGGAGGACAGGTGGTATTGAAGCAATAGATGGCCGAGGGGGTGGTCCTTCCCCCAGCCTCTCGGGTAGAACAGCAGCCTAATATGTGTCTCCCGAGATCACAAAGAGCAGCAGGTTTCACACGGGCTTCAACACTATTTCCTGGCCGTTTGACATAAGAGAATTCTATTTCGCTTTTTTTATCTTGATTTCACTTTTGTTTTCTTTCCTTGGAGAATGCAAGTTGTTTGATTCAAGAATGCTGTGGATGTAGAAACCCTAAAGCACATTCGCTGTGAATCAATCCCAGTCCAGTCTTCCCAGAGAAGACTCTAAACACCTCCTGGACTGCACCTGGGCCTATGCCAATTCCTATCACTCACCGTCACTCCAGGGAGACAGAACACACAGAGAATACGTTACATAGGCAGGTTCATTACTAACAGATAAGCAGCGAGTGACAACAGAAACCTATATTTCAATGTGAGCCAGTCCCTCAAGGCTCAGAAAAGCTCCTCGGGACATATGGAGTCACCCCATTTGCAGTGTAGCTGCGGGAAGCCAGAAAGCAGCCCAGCCTGGGTTTTGTACCCTGGAGCCACAGGAAGCACTCAGCTAAAGCACTGCATGACGTCCTCCAGGAAGAACAGGAAGACAGCCCAGGGTGTTCTGAGACGTTCCTCCTGATCTCAGGAAGTTGCTGTCTTAGGCCATTTTTGTTGCTCTAAAGGAACACTTGAGCCTCGGTAACTTCTAAAGAAAAGAGATTGGTTTGCCTCACCGTTCTGCAGGCTGTACTGGAAGCATGGCACCAGCATCTATTTCTCGTGACGGCCTCAGGCTGCTCCCACTCTGGCAGAAGGGAAGGAGGGTCTGTCTGTGCAGAGACCACAGAGATCACACGGCAAGAGAGGGAGCAAGGGGGAGGGGGAGTGATGGAGCTTCCAAGCTCTTTTTAACAACCAGCTCTCCGGGAACTAATAGAGGGGGAACTTGCTAACCCCGTCTCCTTGGGACAGCATTGATGTGTTCATGATGGATCCACCTCCATGACCCAAACACCTCTCAAGAGGCCCAACCTCCCACAGTGGGGGTGAAATTTCAATGTGAGGTTTGAAGGGGTCAAACATCTCAACTAAAGTAGTCGTATCCTCAGCACGTTCTATGGTTACTATGAGAGCTATAACTGAAAAAGCAGGAGAAAGCTGGGTCTCCTGCCATCTGGGTGCTTGTCCTAAAGAGATGTTTTATGTGGTTACCTGTCAATCAAGAAATGCGAGACAATTCATAAAGAGGAACTGCTAAGATTAGCTTCTTATTGGTGTCTCATCTTCTTCCAGGTAACCCCCGACACCTGCACATTCTGATTGGGACCTCAGTGGTCATCATCCTCTTCATCCTCCTCTTCTTTCTCCTTCATCGCTGGTGCTCCAACAAAAAAAGTAAGTCTCACGAAGCAGAGGCCAGAGAGCTCAGGGCCATGTGGGGAAGCAGGATGGGAGCACTCAGGTGTGTGTTCCTCACAAACAGGATGGTCCCTGGCCCAAGGCAGCAGCCACAGAGGCAGGACTTTCTAGAGAGGGCACCAGACTCCCTGCCCCTGCCTTCAACTCACAGACCGTTGCCTGATTCTGAACTGTATCCTCATGTCCCCTGCAGCCACTCACATCCAGGAGAAGGTTCCATGACAGGCAGAAAGTGGGAGACAGAATCAATGGGATGGGAACTCAGAGCTATTCATGGGATGGGTCCTTGAGCTCAGAGAGATAGAATGTCTGAGTCTGCTGTTGGCAACTGAGGGACCTCAGCCACCTATGGTCTCCCCCTGTATGTTGGTATCTGCTTATGAAATGAGGACCCAGAAGTGCCCTCCGAGCTGTTTTGTTGACTTCCGTCTCCTACAGATGCTGCGGTAATGGACCAAGAGTCTGCAGGGAACAGAACAGCGAATAGCGAGGTAGGTACTCCTCGGCCCGGGCTCGTGGCTACTGTTATTCCCAAAGAGTCCTGGAAAATGTGAGCACCCTCCCTCACTCAGCATTTCCCTCTCTCCAGGACTCTGATGAACAAGACCCTCAGGAGGTGACATACACACAGTTGAATCACTGCGTTTTCACACAGAGAAAAATCACTCGCCCTTCTCAGAGGCCCAAGACACCCCCAACAGATATCATCGTGTACACGGAACTTCCAAATGCTGAGTCCAGATCCAAAGTTGTCTCCTGCCCATGAGCACCACAGTCAGGCCTTGAGGGCGTCTTCTAGGGAGACAACAGCCCTGTCTCAAAACCGGGTTGCCAGCTCCCATGTACCAGCAGCTGGAATCTGAAGGCATGAGTCTGCATCTTAGGGCATCGCTCTTCCTCACACCACRAATCTGAAYRTGCCTCTCWCTTGCTTACAAATGTCTAAGGTCCCCACTGCCTGCTGGAGAAAAAACACACTCCTTTGCTTAGCCCACAGTTCTCCATTTCACTTGACCCCTGCCCACCTCTCCAACCTAACTGGCTTACTTCCTAGTCTACTTGAGGCTGCAATCACACTGAGGAACTCACAATTCCAAACATACAAGAGGCTCCCTCTTAACGCAGCACTTAGACACGTGTTGTTCCACCTTCCCTCATGCTGTTCCACCTCCCCTCAGACTAGCTTTCAGTCTTCTGTCAGCAGTAAAACTTATATATTTTTTAAAATAACTTCAATGTAGTTTTCCATCCTTCAAATAAACATGTCTGCCCCCATGGTTTCGGTAATGGGACTCTTTTCTTGCCTAAGGCTTCCGGTGTTATCAGTACCATGTCCATATAATCCCATCTGTTCCCCACTGAGTTCTCATCCCCGGACTCTGAGTTTCTGGAAGCAGGGTGGAGCCTCATTTGTCTCTGAGACTCCAATTTCCATCCAAAGATGTAGCACATAGGAGGTTCCAAGGATCACGAATCATATGAACAAGTGATACTCTTACTCTCTGCAGACCTGGAAAGCTGGCAGAGTCATTCCACAATGAAACATTTGTAGAATCATAGGCCTTGTTAGTCTCATCTCCATGGGGACACATATCAACACATCATCTTTCATAATATAAATATACGGTCACTCCTCCATATCTGCGGGGTTTACAGGTGTTTATTGAACCAAGTATAAATCAAAAATATTGAGAGAAAGTATCCACAGAGTTTCAAAAAGCATAACTATGTTGAATGGACACAAATGAAGCTGTGTGTAGGCTGTATCAGGAATTATAAGTAATCTAGAGATGATTTCATGTATACAGGAGGATGTGCATAGGTTATTTGCAAACTCTGTGCCATTTCATATAAGAGGCTTGAGCATCTACAGATTTTGGTATCTGAGTGGAGATCTCAAAACCAATCACCCACGAATAGTGAAGGATGACCGTATATGACTTTTATTTCTCAAATTTAAATATAAATCATAAAAAATGTACAACTAGATAAAAACTAAGAAGTGTTTTTATAGTGTGAGTTAGATTTATTTTTTCCTAGGTGTAACCAATTGGTTTAATATTATTTATTGAGAAGACATTCTATGCCACCTTAAACCACACGGCAGCCTTTGTCAACTCTAAAGGGACTGTGTGTACATGGATGTATTTTAGACACTGTTTCTGCTAAGGGGCTCTCTGTGTCCACACTCTTGATGATGCTGCACTTTATGTAGCCTTATAGAACCCTTTAAATTTAGTAGCCAGAGCCCTCTAATTTGTTATTATAGGCTGTTTGCTTTTTTTTTCTTGAGGCGGAGTCTTGCTCTGTCGCCCAGGCTGGACTGCAGTGACACAATCTCAGCTCACTGCAACCTCCGCCTCCCAGGTTCAAGCGATTCTCGTGCCTCAGCCTCTTGAGCAGCTGGCGTTACAGGTGCCTGCCACCAGGCACGGCTAATTTTTGGATTTTTAACAGAGACACGGTTTCACTATATTGGCCAAGCTGCTCTCAAACTCCTTATCTCAGTTGATCCGCCCACCTCGGCTTCCCAACGTGCTGGGGAAAACTTGATTTTCTATAGCATTATGTTACTGGATATTTCTGTAAAATTTAAAACGAGGGAGGGAGAGAGACAGACAGAGAGCAAACTCCAGAGTTGGGACTCTGGAATCTTGGGTCATGAGACAAATTTTAGATTAAACTACAAAACTCCAGAATTTACAGGTGTGGTTTTTGCTGATAAAGTACAATTCTAAGATTGTAAATAATTGCATAATCCTTCCCTGGGAATTTAAATCATTTTAGCTGGTTCTGCTGTAATACTAGAAATACAAGCATGAAAAATTCTAATGGTTTATTAGTCACAATGACTCCGAAAACATTAATAATACCTATTAGATACTTTGCATATTACACAGGAAGAAGAGTTTGAATCTCAGATAAAAACAAAAAAAATACATGAAAAGTCTTTCATGTTAGCACAGATTTTAGGCATCTCGTGTTCGGATAAAAATACATGAAAAGTCTTTCACGTTAGCACAGATTTTAGGCATCTTGTGTTCGGGAGGTTGGATCTGAGACGTGTTGTGAGTTGGTCATAGTGAAGGACGTGAGGTGCCAATTCTAGTGAGAACAATTTCCAGGAAGCCGTGTTCCGCTCTTGAGCAAGCATCCACTGGGCCTCATGCAAGGTAGAAAGAGCCTGCGTACGTCACCCTCCCATGATGTAGTCAACATGTAAGCTGCATGGGCAGGGCGCCAAATAACATCCTGTGCGCTGCTGAGCTGAGCTGGGGCGCGGCTGCCTGTCTGCACCGGCAGCACCATGTCGCTCATGGTCGTCAGCATGGCGTGTGTTGGTGAGTCCTGGAAAGGAATAGAGGGAGGGAGCGCGGGGATGGAGATCTGGGCCCAGAGGTGGAGATATAGGCCTGGAGGTGGAGTTATGGGCCTGGAGTGGAGATCTGGGCCTGGAGTGGATATATGGGCCTGGAGATGGAGTGATGGGCCTAGAAGTGGAGATCTGGGTCTGGAGTGGAGATATGGGCCTGGAGGTGGAGATATGGGCCTGGAGTGGAGATCTGGGCCTGGAGTGGAGATAGGAACCTGGAGGGGAGATATGAGCCTGGAGTGAAGATATTGGCCTGGGATGGAGATATGGGCCTGGAGTGGAGACATGGGCCTGGAGGTGGAGATATGGGCCTGGAGGTGGAGACATGGGCCTAGAGGTGGATATCTGGGCCTGGAGTGGACATATGGGCCTAGGATGGAGATATGGGCCTGGGTGTGGAGATATGGGCTTGGGGTGGAGATATGGGCCTGGATTGGAGATATGGGTCTAGGGTGGAAATATTGGCCTGGAGTGGAGATATGGGCCTGGAGTGGAGATATGGGCTTGGGGTGGGGATAGGGGCCTGGGGTGCGGATATGGGCCTGCAGGCTGGGTCTCTACACAGCCGACAGCCCTGTTCTTGGGTGCAGGCTGGCACTGAGGGTGAGTTTCCCTTCAGCCCAGCAAGGGCCTGGCTACCAAGACTCACAGCCCAGTGGGGGCAGCAAGGGAGTCCTGGTTTGCCTGCAGATGGATGGTCCATCATGATCTTTCTTTCCAGGGTTCTTCTTGCTGCAGGGGGCCTGGACACATGAGGGTGAGTCCTTCTCCAAACCTTAGGGTGTCATCTCCCCACATAAGAGGATTTTCCTGAAACAGGAGGGAAGCCCGGTGGGGGATTTTCTTATAAACAAGGATGAGGAGACCCTGGGGTGCTCAGCCCACAGTTCCGACCTTGCCCTCCCCAGCCTTCCTTTCCCTTGGCTGAGTCAGGTTCTGTGGGAACCCGGGAGGGTAGACTGGGGTCCTCCAAGCTGGGCTGTGCGGCTGGGATGTGGTGTCACTGGCAGAGGAAGGGAGCAAAGCAGTGCTAGGAACAGCAGGCCTCTGAGGACAAAGGTGTAACTCACACCCTCCAGCGTTTCCATGACGGTAGGGGCTGCAGTGTGGCTGCTGTCATTCTACCTCAGAGGTGGGGGAACCCCAGCCAGGGCCCTGACCTTCCAAATCCTCTGTTGGGGGCTCAGTTGTGTATTGTGGTTCACACATTGGCTGATATTCCATTCACAAAGAACATGCCCTCGACTCCATGTCTATTTGTGTTGTTTTATGTGAGTAATCTTGCAGGATTAAAATCTAGTAGGAGTCCCTTACTCAGCACTTGCTCAAAGTTCTCAGCTGACACTTTTGTTGTAGAGAGACGCCAAGTCTATGCGGGGTGGGTCCTTCCTGTAGCCCTGGGCACCCAGGTGTGGTAGGAGCCTTAGAAAGTGGAAATGGGAGAATCTTCTGACACGTGGAGGGAGGGGCGGCTCCACATCCTCCTCTCTAAGGTGGCGCCTCCTTCTCCCCCAGGTGGTCAGGACAAGCCCTTCCTCTCTGCCTGGCCCAGCCCTGTGGTGTCTGAAGGAGAACATGTGGCTCTTCAGTGTCGCTCTCGTCTTGGGTTTAACGAATTCAGTCTGTCCAAAGAAGACGGGATGCCTGTCCCTGAGCTCTACAACAGAGTATTCCGAAACACCGTTTTCATAGGCCCTGTGACCCCAGCACATGCAGGGACCTACAGATGTCGGGGTTCACACCCACACTTCCTCACTGGGTGGTCAGCACCCAGCAACCCCCTGGTGATCATGGTCACAGGTCAGAGGGCTCCTGTCTGGGATTCTCCTTGTCCCACCTCCTGAGTCCCAGAGCTTCTGGTGGGAGTGTCCACCAGCGTCCCATCATCCAGACCCTAACTGTATTTGGGGTAAAAGGGGATTGAATACAGGGAAATGGGTGCTGTGGTGGAAAGAATAATTGTCCCCAATGATGACTGCATTCTAATCCCTGCAGTCTGTGACTATTTATGTTATAGGGGAAGGCACTGAAGGGGAAGATGGAGCTCAGGTTGTTGAGTTGACCTTGAGATGGGGAGACAGCCTGGACTGTCCTGCTGGGCTCAGTGTAATCACAAGGGTGCACATGAGAGGAGAAGGAAGAGGGGAGTGGCGATTAGAGCAGTGCAATGGAAGTCTCCATCAGCTTTGAAGGTGGAGGAAGGCCATGAGCCATGAATGCAGGTGGCCTATAGAGGCTGGAAAAGTCAAGGAACTGATTCTCCTGGGTCTCCAGAGGGAACGCAGCCCTGCAGATGCCTTGATTTTAGCCCTCAAAAAACAGGGTCCGATTTCTGTCTCCAGAAACGGAAGGGGTCAGTGTGCTCTCTCCTGCTGCCATGCTTCTGATAATTTTCTACAGCACCAACAGGAAACCAACACTGGAACCCAGGTCAAGGACAAGATAAGAAAGGACACAAGGATAGCCGGGCGTGGTGGCAGGTGCATGTAATCCTAGCAACTCAGGAGGCTGAGGGCAGGAGAATCACTTGAACCCAGGAGACAGAGGTTGCAGTGAGCCTAGACCACACCACTTCACTCCAGCCTGGGTGAAGGAGTGAGACTCTGACTCCAAAATTAATTAATTAATTAAAGAAACCAAACAAAGAGAAGGTTGGCTACACCGAGATCAGCAAGGGTGGGATGATGATGCCACCACCAGGCTCCATCCACATAGGGAGGGGTTGATACTCCTCAAACCAGCACCAGAAGCCAGCCTATGGAAGCTGGCACCATGGAGAAGGCACAGGCATGGCAAGAGTGGCTCCCAGTCCCCACCAGGAACAGGGTGTGTGGACACTGGTGCCTGCCTTACTGATCAGTTCATACCTTCTGCCAAGGATTCCAATTCGTCCAAAAGAGATTGAACCAGTCTGCTAAGAGCCTGGACGTGCAGCCTATCCTGGTTCCTCTTCCACCCCCACATAGAAGCAGGAAAGACATTAGTTCGAAATAGATACAACAGCCCAAGAGATGAGGCTGAGCCCAGCGGCAAGGGAATCAGGAGCTACTAGAGACAGAGGGACAGAGAAGAGGGAGGGAGACAGATGGAAGGACCTGTACCAGGAGTTATGGGCACAGAAAAGAACATGAAGACACAGAGAGGAAGGAGAGAGATAAGACACCAGCGAGGGGAAGCCTCACTCATTCTAGGTGCCATGGATGGGATGATAAAGAGAGATGCCTTCTAAAGTCACAACCTCTCTTCCTAGGAGTCCACAGAAAACCTTCCCTCCTGGCCCACCCAGGTCCCCTGGTGAAATCAGAAGAGACAGTCATCCTGCAATGTTGGTCAGATGTCATGTTTGAGCACTTCCTTCTGCACAGAGAGGGGAAGTTTAATGACACTTTGCGCCTCACTGGAGAGCTCCATGATGGGGTCTCCAAGGCCAACTTCTCCATCGGTCGCATGACGCAAGACCTTGCAGGGACCTACAGATGCTACGGTTCTGTTCCTCATTCCCCCTATCAGTTGTCAGCTCCCAGTGACCCTCTGGACATCGTGATTACAGGTGAGAGTGTCTGGACATTATTCTCATTGTCACTGGGACACAGAGTGAATGATCCACGACTTGGAGGCCCAGGTGGTTATAAGGAAGATGAGCTTGGTATTCTTATGGAGAGAGACTAATTTGGTGAGGTCTGTACCAACAGAGACAGAGAAACAGGAGACACAAGTACAGACCAGGTGTCATAACAGAGGACAGACACAGGGGCCATACAGGGAGTTAGAAAAGACAGAAAGAGTTAAAGGAGACACAGACAGACATGTGCCAGAGAGAGGTGTCCTTCCATGCTGACTTTGCTCAGAGACCTGGCACAGGTTAGAAGTTTCATTTCTGTTTTACTTCCACAAAGTGTTCTCTACCAGAAGAACCCAAGGACACCCATATTTCTGGCCTGAGTTGGGCCCTGTGGCCTCAGGCCTTCTGGCACCTACAGATGCCGTGTTTATTCTGACACCTCTGCCTTCCATGCAATGGAGAGTAATCGTCCCAGGATATCATGGCCCCAGAACATCAACCCCTGTATACTGTGTGAACTTGCGGTCCCCAGACTGGATTCTGAGGCTCACATTCCAAATAACCCCACATATGAGAGGATCACTGAGAGACACAGAGAGAAATCAGGGACACCAAAAAGCAAAGACATAAACACACAGAGAATGAGCCAGAGGAAGGAGATTGAGAGACTCACAGACACATAAAGAGGGAGAAAAGAGGGCAGAGAAGTGGAGAGAACAATGGAAGGGAACAGAGAAAAGCACTAAAATTAGAGTCCTGAGGGAGAGGCACAAGGACATAGAAAGATGGAGATGTGGGGATGAATTGCAGAGATTCCAAAGAGAACTAGAGAGACCGAGAGGCAGAGCAAGACAGATGATAGATGGATAGATATAGATAGATGATAAATAGGTAGATGATAGATAATAGGTTATAGATACATAGATGATGATCGATTCATTCATTGATTAATCGATGATACATAGAGATGATGAAGATGAAGATAGATAGATAATACATAGAGATAGAGAGGCAGACAAAGAGAAATCATAGAGAGAGAGAGATGATACATAGATATAGATAATAGATGATTTTTGGATAGACAATTGATAGATAAATAGATTATATATAGATATAGATGACAGGTAGAGAATTTGTAGATAGGCACCAGATAGATAAATAGATATATCGATAGATAATAGATAGAAATATGCAGAAAGTTATGAACAGGACACAAAGTGAGAAACTCAGAATTTAAAAAAAGTAACATCAAGTCAACTAGTCCAAGGAGAGTCAGAGAGAATAAAACAATCCAAAAAGGGAAAACATATCTAGAGGTGAGAAAGTGAGGTCAGAGACCTAGAGAGACAGAGAAGGTGGAAAGAGGAAATAGACATAAAGAGAGATGGTGTGGAGGGTGAGACAGAGAGAGAGAGCATTAGGCCATAGAGCAGGGGAGTGAGTTCTCAGCTCAGGTGGGAGGGGAGTTGTGACAAGGAAGAACCTCCCTGAGGAAACTGCCTCTTCTCCTTCCAGGTCTATGTGGGAAACCTTCTCTCTCAGCCCAGCCGCGCCCCATGGTTAAGGCAGGAGAGAGCGTGACCTTGTCCTGCAGCTCCCGGAGCTCCTATGACATCTACCATCTATCAAGGGAGGGGGAGGCTCATGAACTTAGGTTCCCTGCAGTGCCCAAGGTCAATGGAACCTTCCAGGCCAACTTTCCTCTGGGCCCTGCCACCCACGGAGGGACCTACAGATGCTTCGGCTCTTTCCGTGACTCTCCCTACGAGTGGTCAGACCTTAGTGACCCACTGCTTGTTTCTGTCACAGGTGAGGAAACCAGTCTGTTCCCCAAATAGTGGGACTCAGATGGACTACAATGGCCACATTCAGGGGAGCCTCAGATGGAGGGGGTGGCCATGGGGGTGTCAGCCAGAGATGCTGGACAGAAGAGACACAAAGCAAACATACAGAAAGAGGCATAGACAGACAGACAGAGCGAGGCAGACAGATCACATTAGGGTTTGGGGTGGTAACTGCAACCCTACCTGAAGCTTGCAGATAGAGCACAGGCCACATAAACCACTTCCCAGTCTTTGTACAGAAGCCCACCTGGGACACATGTAAACAGCATCAATGCTGACTCAGGAGCATGAAAGGCCGGGCTCAGATTGGAAAGACTAGAGGTAGCATTGGCCGCCCGCCATTGCCCATTTCCAGAAGCCCCCACCTCTCACCAAAGAGTGATTTCCACATGGGGGGCACAGATGCAACCATCGTTGGGGGAGCCCCAATGTCTCTTGATGGGAGGCATTTTCCACCCTAGATGTTTTTTGCTCTCTCCACACCTTGGAGACTCAGTGGGGGAGTCTTCTCTGGGGACTCGGGGAGGGCCTCCCTGGGACTCGCAGGATTTCCAAGCTAGATGACAACATGACAGGTGGAAACAGGCCCATTCCTTCGCCAGGGGCCCCAAGCTCCATCCCAGGAGATGAGAAGAGGCTCTTCTCATTGGTCAGTGGATCCCTGAGGGGACAGAGGCTCAGCACTGAAGGCTGAGAAGGATCTGCCACTTCGCTCAGTGGCCTCAAGCCAGACATCTTCCCTACAGACTTGCAGTGATTCTCCATCAGCATTTAGGGCTGTGGCCACCAACCTGGGTGTTGGTCTGTAGGAACTTTTCATTTCTGACCTTCCATAACTGAGTTCTCTTCCTAAATGTGGAATGCCTTGTACTCCATGTTACTCTCTCCCCAGAAAGAATGTGTGGCTTGTCTGCTCTCCAGCCCTGTCATGGAGATTGATAATCCTTAGGGAGCAAGAGGAGAGGGAAAGAACAAAGTATGAGACCACCTAGGTGCTACTGGTTGAGGTTCCATTTGCCAGTGAAGGGACTTCACTCAGCCGAGGGGGCAACTCAGGGAAGTCAGCCGAGGGAGGGCATTAGAGTAGAGAGAACTGAGCTCACCCAGTAAATGACCCCTTCACTAACTCATTCATCTAATATTTATTTCACACCTACCATCAGTTCTCTCTGTTTCACGGCCAGGAGTAGACAGCACGGCCAAGCTCCTGGGTTCATGATGCTCACATTGCTGTGGGGTGGGAGAGAGAGGCAGAACATGAATGAATGAATGAGAGAATGAATGAATGAGTGAATGATGGAATGAGTGAATGAATGAATGAATGAATGTATGAATTAGTGAGTGAATCCTTAGCACTTGGTGAAAGTGCCATGCACAGAATGAAATGAATGAACGTGGAACGTTGTCATTTGGAGTGTACAGGAGGGAACGTCTCACTGAGACCTCATCAGAGAGATCACATTTAAACTCCGATCTTAGAGACAAGAGGGAGTGAGCCCTGGGGAGTGTGTTGAAAGGAACTTTCATGGACTTAGGACATTGGGGATGACCCTAATGTGAGAATGAGCTTGGTGTGTTCCAAGAAGTCCATGGACCTGCCATATGGTGAGGGCTGGTCAGAATCCAGAGAGATTTCTAAATGCCCTTGTGCTTGTAAGGAAAGTGAGTCCTGTGGTTGGGAGTGGACTTATACCTTGGGTCAGGTCCAGCAATTATCTTTCTAAATCCTCTCTAATTGCCTGAACCACTTCTATCAACAACTGAGAAAAGAGGAGTGTTAAACACCCCACTGTGGCCGTGGATTTGCCTACCTGTCCATTTATTTCCGCGACTCTTCCTCCATGTATATTTGCAGGAATATTACTGGGAGTGGTTAAGTGTAAACTGATTATATATTCCTGGTAAATTTAAAATGCTATAAATTTACCTGCTTTTTTCCTACATTTTATGCTTAATGTTTTCCGCTGATTTTTCCCAAAGACTAATTTTGTCTAATTTTAATATAGTTATACCACATTTCTAACAGTGATTGCTTGGTATATTTCTACATTGTTTAATTTCAAACTCCATGAATTGTTAACATTGAGATGTGTCCTTTGTAAATTTCAAACAATTCGCCTTAGAAAGTAAGACTTTCTGACAATCTTTTGTTCATGTTTGAGCAGTTCTTCCAATCATATTTTTGTTATTATTACGTTGTGTTTTCCTGATTCCCTTTTTTTCCCACTGACTTCTGTGGTTTTCTATTTCAAACATTCTATTTTTGATCTATGTCGTTTAGGAATACATATATGGTGTACTCATCCTGAAGTTGTTACATATTTTTAAAATTGAAATTAATCATTTCAGAGATTAAACTGCAAATATAAAAACATATTTCCACTCTTCCTGTGTAAGAACAGGATTTTAGAGCATATTTAGTACATATGTTTGTATTTACTTATATGATGTTTTGTTTTGTGGTATACATAATTCTATCTTTTTCAGAAATTACACAGGGGCGTGTTTTCATACACTATCGTATGGTCCATATTCATTTTTGGCATAGCCATATTTTTAGTTCTTCCTCTGCTCTTAGTTATTGTCAGAATCTTCGACACCCCATCTGGTTTCACTTTCTTTATCTTTGAGGCACGGTCATCAGAATTTCCTTTAGGGTCAGTGAGAAAAGCTTTCTTTGCCCTTTTGTCTTTCAGTTCTGTTTCTTTCCTGCGTTGATCTTGGACAGTAACTGTACTATGTAAGGAATTGTCGGTGGCTGGCGACGGTATCTTAGCTGGGTAAAGATGCTATTCTACTGGCTTATGTTTTCCTTTTTTCTGTGGGGAAGACAATGCTTGGCTCCCTATAAATCCTTACCAGCTGATCCTTTTCCTCTGGCTAATTTTAAGGGTTGGTTGTGCTTTTATGCTGCTTTTCTGTAATGTTGAACGTGAGGTGTGTTTACTTCATTCTGCCTGGCATTCACTGGATTTCTTGAACCTGTGGATTGATGGATGTGTCTACTTCCTCCAAATAATCAACAATTGCCTCTTTAAAGATTGCTTCTGACCTGTTTTCTCGTTCTTTCTTTTTGGAACTCAAGTTAGGAGCATTCTAAAACTGTTGTCAATTTTTACCCTGTCACAAAACTGCTCTTTCTTGTTTCAGTTATTTGCTTTTTCTGTGCATTAATATTGATGGTTTCCTCTGTCATAGAGGATAAATACTCTCTTCACTGTTGTGTACACAACATTTTAACTAGTTATTCTGGTTTAAATTTAATATTGACTTTATCTACATATCACAATTGATTACTGTGTACAGACTTTCTTTTCTATTAGTATAAATTTATGAGGTACACTTGTAATTTTGTGACATGAGTATGTTGCAGAGTAGTGAAGTCAGGACTTTTACTATATCCATCACCCAAATACCGTACATTGTACTCATTAAGCAAATTCTCATCACTCACCCACGTCCCGCCACCCTCCAGCCTTCTAGCCTCCGCTGTCCGTCATTCCACACTCTACGTCCATATGTACACATTACTCCCCTCCCATGTAGAGTGAGAAGATGTGGTATTTGTCTTTCTGAGTGGTTTTATGTAAAATAATGGCGTCCAGCTCCATCTATGTTGCTGCAAAAGACATGGTTTTATTTTTATGACCAAATAGTATTTCGTTGTGTATACACGCATCCTTTTTTTAATCCAATCATTCATTCACAGACACTTAGATTGATTTCATATCTTTGCTATTGCAAACAGTGCTGCAATAAACATACAGGTGCAGGTATTTTTTGAGTAGATACCCAGCAGCGGGACCCCTAGATCGAATGGTGCTTCTATTTTTGGTTCTCTGCCAAATTTCCATACTGTCTTCCATAGAGGCTATACTAATTTACATACCGGCCAACAGTGTATAAGAGTTTCCTTTTCTCTGCATCCTTGCCAACACCTGTTATATGTTTCACTTTTTCTTTTTTTCTTTTTGAGATGGAGTCTTCCACTGTCACCCAGGCTGGAGTGCAGTGCCGCCATCTCCACGCGCTGCAACCTCCACCAACCAGGTTCAAATGATTCTCCTGCCTCAGCCTCCTGAGTAGCTGGGATTACAGAACCACACCACCATGCCCAGCTAATCTTTTGTATATTTAGTAGAGATGGGGTTTCACTATGTTGGTCAGGCTGGTCTCAAACTCCTGACCTCATGATCCACCCGCCTCAGCTTCCCAAAGTGCTGGGATTACAAGCGTGAGCCACCACTCCCCACCAGCATTTTTAGTAATAGCCATTCTGACTACTGTAAGATGATATCTCATTGTGGTTTCAATTTGCATTTCTCTGATGATTAGTGATGTTCATACGCTGTTTGGCCATTCGTATGTCTTCTTTTGAAAAATGTCTATGTATATCCCTTTGCCCACTTTTTAATGCTATTATTTGAGGGGTTATGTTTAGTTGTTTGAGTTGCCTAGAAATTCTGGATGTTAGTCCTCTGTTGGGTGCATAGTTTGCAAACATTTCCATTCATTCTGTGGGTTGTCTGTTCACCCTGCTACTATTTCCTTTGCTTGGCAGAAGCTCTTTCGTTTATTAAGTCCCATTGGTCTAGTTTTATTTTTATTGCCTGTGCTTTTGAGGTCTTAGTGATGAATTCTTTGCCCAGACCAATGCCCAGAAGAGTTTCTCTTTGGGTTTCCACCGGTGATTTTATAGTTCTGGATTTACATTTAAGCTGCTAATTACCTTAAGTTAATTTATGTGTATGATTACAGATACAGGTCCAGTTTTATTCTTCTGCATATGGCTATTTAGTTTTCCCAGCACCTTTTATTGAAAAGGAAATCTTTCTCCAGTGTATGTTTTGTTAACGTCGTCAATGATTATTCACTGTAGATATGAGGCTGTATTTCTGGGCTCTCTATTCTGGTCTATTGATCTCTGTTTCTGTGTCTATACCAGCACTGTGCTATTTAAGTTACTATAGCCTTAGAGCATAGTTTGAAGTCAGATAGCGTGATGCCTCCAGGTTTCTACATTCACCTAGAATTGCTTTCTCTATTAGGATCTTTTTTGGTTCTGTATGAATTTTAGGATTGCTTTTTCTAATTCTGTGAAAACTGGTGTTACTATTTTCATATAAGAATTGCACTGAATCTGTAGATTGCTTTAGGCAGTATGGTCATTTTAACAATATTAATTCTTATGATCCATGAGCGTGGGATTTTTTTTCTTTTTTTTTTTTTGTATTATCTATAATTGCTTTCATTGGTGTCTTACACCTTTCCTGGTACAGATCTTTCACCACCTTGGTTAAATGTATTCCTGAGTGTTTTAATTTTGCGTATCTATTGTAAACGGCATTGCCTTCTTGATTTGGTTCTCAGCTAGATCATTATAGGTGTAGAGAAATGCTACCGGCTTTTACATATTGATTTTGTATTCTGAAACTTTACTTAGTTCATTTATCAATCATAAGAATTTTTGGCAGGGTCTTTAGGATTTTCTAGATTTAAGATCATAGCATCAGAAATAAAAATAATTTTACTTCCTCTTTTCTAATTTGGATTTTTAATTCTTCCTGTTGCCCAATAGCTCTGACAAGGCTTCCAGTACTATGTTGATAGGAAGTGGTGGATGTCCGTGTCCTTGTCTTGTGCCAGTTCTCAGAGGAGTGCTTTTAACTTTTCCTGTTCAGTATGATGTTGACTCTAGATATGTCATCTATGGCTTTTATTATTTTGAGGTATGTTCTTTCTATGCCTAAGTTTTTGAGGGTTTTCATCAGGTAAGGATGTTGAATTTCTTTTCAGATGCTTTTCTTTATGTCTATTGAGATGATCATATGGTTTTTGTTCTGGATTCTGCTCGTTCTTCTAAGTGGATGAGACATGCCAGAAAAGCATTTAGTCAGCCATCTTGGAAACAAGCATCTCAGATGTTTTCTTTCTCTATAGCTCATTCTTTCTTACCAGTGTTTTCAATTTTGTACTTAATTTTGTAAAGAGAGTAAATGATATAATTTCCACATATGTTTCCTCTGCCAAATCAGACTCACTATGCTTCCTTTCCTTGTATACATAACCTACCCAGCAATACACACAAACATTTATTGCTTTGGAGAATTAGTTTGGGAACATTTTTGAAATGTACAAAAAAATGTATATCTTCAAAAGAAATTTCTTTTTGTGGCAAAAGACTTCTGAAGGTGCTCATGATGATATAGGGAGAAGAGGGGTTCTGGACAGGAAGAATTTTATGAAGGTGAGATGGGGAAATAGCTCCATTTCAGAGCTTCTGGGGAGAGAGGGGCCTGGCCCACATGGAAAGGTCTCTGATCTTACCCCCACCCTCCAGCCCCTGTTCTCCAGAACTATACTGTGGAGAGTTCCATCAGGATTGTTGTGGCTGGTCTGGTCTTCCTGGCTCTTTTGGCAATGCTGGCTAAGACCTGGTGGAGACATGAGGGGCCACAGGTGGAAATGGAAGAAACATGACTGAAGCTGGCTGGAGTGAATGGCGCGACATTCTGTCTGTGGGAGATTGGCCAGATGGGTTTCAAGTGTGTTGTATCAGCTGTGACTTTTAGTAATGTTCTTGCTACCACAATATCCACTCGTCCATCCCGAATAATTGTGATGAAATATTGTCCTTGGGATAATATTCATTTGCTAAAGACAGGGATGATACCTCAAGGTGCCACTATATACATCGAGGGGATCCACAAAAGTCCATTCAGTAAAATGTAGTTGGCATCTTAGGGTAGGTTGATTCCACCTCTAAAAAAGTAGGTACAACATCAGGTTGATTTTTCCGAAGAAAAGTGGTGATTGGCCATCTTTAGTCTCAATGTAAACGGTAATACTGATGAGTGTGGAAAAGGCAGGGAAGAGGATTGACAATAAGTGACACTCATTGTTTTCATCTGAGCTTTGAGACTGAAAGAGGAACACAGGAGTGAGATGTATGGGAACAAACCCCTTCTTTTTCCAGCTAAACAGAGTGGAAGTTGGACACTGAGTTTTGGCGTACAGCAAAATCCTAAGTCCATTGTTGGGTTGAACACGGCCATGTTGTACATCCTGGTTTCACAGCAGACACTGGAGGAAAACAGCCTGTATTCATAAGAGGCTGTCCCTCGGGTCACTGCCCAGAATATCCGGAGTTGGTGCTCACAGGGTTGGGAACTCTCCTGGACCAGACAGGCTCTGGATATGGGGGGGTACCAAGCTCCCCGGGGCCATGCCTCCACAGCTCTCTTCTCACCTCATTCTTGACCATTTCCCAAACCTCTGACCTCACCTTCATTCATCCATGGTGAACACGCTAAAACTGGCCTTCAAAGCTTGAGACAGAGGAAAATTGGGCTTCATCTCTGGGAACTAAATTGGGGAGTGGAGACTCAGTTCTGGCCTGACAGGAGGGAGAAGACCCTGGATCCCAGTGTGGATGGGAAGAAGTATGTGTTTCTCTTTTGTGCTTGGACCCTGTGTCCAAGCATGTCTGAGATGTGATGAAGATGAATCTTCCTTTCCTTGTCTATTTTCTCATGCCAGAGAATTGGAATCTTATATTCCATTAACTCTTTCTGTTCTGTTCATCCAGATTCTATGAAGGAGAAAGGAAAAGATGTGATACTGTAATTTTGCTCCATTTGTCTAAAATGAGTAGGCTGCAACTCCTCTTGAAGTGATACCTTTTCTAGCTCTTGTTGGAGGTGTCTCAGGACTCATTACTTCGGGGAACCTGCAACTGTGTCAGTCTGGGGAAACTGCAAATATTCTTGTCTTACATTTGTCTCCAGCCAATTGTGATGGACTCCAGTGACCTGCAATTGCTGTTATTGCAGGTAAAATGTACCTGAGTCAGGCCACAGTTCTCCTGGACTATGAGCCCCTGGCCATGTTCCTGAGGCAATTCTGTTCATCTAAATATAATAATAATAACACACTAAAAATGGCAAGCCATTGTTAATTCCTGAAGTCTCATTTGAAAATTACTAAATGTCTGTTATTTTTTGGTGTTTACATTATATGTAGACAGATAAACTACACACACACACACACACACACATGCACACAGAAGAATGGATTGTTTCATGTAGAAAAGTAAATAATTCAAGATGAAAGGATGAAATGTCATGGCACCTACTATTCTATTTTAGATAAAGGGTCTATGAAAAGATTGATTTCTTTTTATGTTTTATTTGTTGACATTTGAACACAAACTATGTAAGTGAGGGAGTCGATTTGAAAGGGAGAAGAGCAAGTTCAAACACATTCAGGTGAGGTCATGCTTTACATGTTTTAATTGAAATGATCCATCTTGGGAGTAGATCAATAACTGAGATGGTGCCAGGAATGTTAAAAAGCTTTTGTCAGTCCTAAATATTGACAAATAAAATTTAATTAAAGTCTTAGAAGAAAACACAAAGGAAAACTTCACAACATCGGATTTGGCAGTGATTCTTTAGATGTGACAACAACGGCACAGGCTACTACAGAAAAAATAAACAAGTTAGACTTTATGAAAATTTTGAAATATTGTGACTCAAAAGACAACATCAGTTACTTCACATGGCAAGGAAAAAGAACTTTTAAGACGATATTATCAAAGTAAAAAGACAACCCACAGAATGGGAGAAAATGTTTTCAAACCACACCACCTGTAAGGGATTAACATCCAGAATATACAGACAACTCCTAAAACTCAATCACAATAAACTCAATTCAAAAATGGGCAAAGTACTGAAACAGACATTTCTCCAAAGAACATACGCATGAAAAGATATTCAGCATCACGAATCATTAGGGAAATACTAACTAAAACTACACCAGATGCCATTTCATACCCCTTAGGATGGGTATCATCAAAACAACAACAACAACAACAACAAAGTTTCTATACATTAACAACAAACTATCCAAAAAAGTTTACAAGAAAATAAGCCCATTTGCAATAACTACAGAAAACAAAACATGCAGGAATAAATTCACCCAAGGAGTAGAAAGATCTGTATGCAAAAGCTATAAAACATTGATGAAAAAACTCAAGAAATAAACAAATAAATCGAAAGATATTCCATGTTCACGGATCAGAAGGATTAATGTTGTTAAAATGTCCATTCTATCCAAAGTGATTCAATGCAACCATTATCAAAAATCCAATGACATTTTTTTTACAGAAATAGAAAAAACAGTCCTAAAATTCATGTGGAACCACAAAAGATCTCAAATAACCAAAGCCATCTAGAGGGAAAGGAACAAAGTTGGAAGCATCACATTACCTAAACACAAACTACATTACAAAATTACAGTAATTAAAACAACACAGTACTTGCATAAAAACAGACACATAGACCAATGGAAGTGATTCATAGCCCAGGAAAAAAATGCATGCATTTAGGGTCAAACAATTTTTGGGATGTGTCAAGAACACACAATGGAGAAGGAACAGTCTCTTTAATAAATGGGATTGGGAGACTGCATGTCCACATGCAGAAGAATGGAAGTGGACATTTGCCTCACAAAACATACAAAGTCAACTCAAGATAGATTAATGACTTAAATGTAAGATGAAAGACTATAATCCCAGCAATTTGGGAGGCCAAGGTGGGCAGATCACCTAAGGTCAGGATTCCAAGACCAGCATGGCCAACATGGTGAAATCCCGCCTCTACTAAAAATACAAAAACAGCTGGGTGTGGTTGTGGGTGCCTGTAATCTCAGCTACTCGGGAGGTTGAGACAGGAGAATCACTTGAACCCAGGAGGTAGAGGTTGCAGTGAGCCGAGATCGCACCACTGCACTCCAGCCGGGGCAACACAGTGAGACTCCATCTTAAAAAAAAAAAAAAAACTACTAAAAGAAATCAAGGGAAAACTCCACTGGCTTGGGCAAAACCATTTTGGATATTAACCCAAAGGCCCAGGCAACAAAAGCAAAAGTAGACAAATAACATTATATCAAATTGAAAGTTTCTGCAAAGAAAAAAAAAACTCAACAAGTGGAAAGACAACCTATGGAATGGGAGAATATATTTGCACCCATACATCTAATAAGGAATTAATATCCAAAATATATAAGAAACTCAAACAACTCAATGGTAAGAAATCAAATAACCCAACTTAAAAAAATGGGCAAAGTATCTGAATAAACATTTCTAAGAATAAGACAAATCACCAAAAGGTATATGAAAAAATGATTAGCATTACTAAACATCAGCTAAATAAAAATTAAAACTAGAATGAGATATCACCTCACACCTCTTAGAATGACCATTAACAGTCTGGGCATGGTGGCTCATGCCTGTAATTCAGGCACTTTGGGAGGCCGAGGCAGGGAGATTACCTGAGGTCAGCAGTTCGAAACCAGCCTGGCCAATATGGTGAAACCCCATCCCTACTAAAAATACAAAAATTAGCAGAGTTTGGTGGCGCACACTTGTAGTCCCAGCTACTCTGGAGACTGAGGCAGGGGAATCGCTTGAACCCAGGAGGCAGAGGTTGCAGTACACCGAGATTGTGCCACTGCACTCCAGCCTGGGTGACAGAGCAAGACTGAGTCTCAAAAAAAAAAAAAAAAAAAAGACCATTATCAAAAACATAAAAAATAACAAGGGTTAACGAGGATGTGGAGAAAAGGGAACATTTGTATGCAGTTGATGGGAATGTAAATTAGCACAACCATTATGGAAAACAGTCTGGAAGTTCCTGAAAAAATTAAACATAGAATTCCCATATGTGTCTGCAATCCAACTACTGCGCATGTATCCAAAGGAAGTGGAATCAGTATGTTGAAGAGATATCTGCATTCCCATGTTTACAGCCGCATTATTCATAACAGCCAAGATGTGGAATCACCCTTACTGCCCATCTATGGGTGCATGGACAAAGAAAACGTGGTATACGATAGGAACGTAATGAAGTACTATACAACCTTTACAACAAAGAAGGAAGTCCTCTCATTTGTGACAATGTGAAAAAACTTAGAGGACATTATGTTAAGGGAAACAATCCAGGCACAGAAAGACAAATGCCACATGATCTCATGTGTGGAGTGTAAGAAGTGGAACCTAGAGGAACAGTAAAATGGTCGTCGAAAGAACCTGGGATGGAGAGAGATTGAAGAGATGTTGGTCAAAGGATGCAAAATTTCAGTTAGAAGAAATCGGTTCAAGAGATCTATTGTATGTCTTGGTGACTCCAGTTAATAGCAACATATGGTGTATTGAACATTACTAAGAGATTAGATTTTACATGTTCTCACCACACACACAAAACATACAAGTATGTGAAAAAATAAATATGATAAAGAGGTTGTTTCATCCATTCCACAATGTGTACCTATATGAAAACATCATGATGGACACCACAAATACCCTTTTCCTCATTAATTAAATTTGTTTTGGTTTTTTTTTTGAGATGCAGTTTCACTGTTGTTGCCCAAGCTGAGGTGCAATGGCGTGATCTCCGCTCACTGCAACCTCTGCCTCCCAGGTTCAAGCGGTTCTCCTGACTCAGCCTCCCAAGCAGCTGGGACTACAGTTGCGTACCACCCCGTCCGGCTATATTTGTGTTTCTAGTAGAGACAGGGTTTCGCCATGTTGGCCAGGCTGGTCTCGAACTCCAGACCTCAGGTGATCCACCCGCTTCGCCCTCCCAAAGTGCTAGATTTCAGGCTGAGACACCACACCCAGCCTGTACATTGACTTTCTGCCCTTAAACTGTGCTGAAGTTTGTTTCTCAGATGTAGGAGCCTTTGGGCAGAGACTATGGGGTTTCTAGGTATAGAAATTATCTCATCTTCAAACAGAGGTAATTTGACTACCTCTCTCTGCTACTCTCTTCTTACTTGGATGCCTTATAATTCTTTCTCTTTCCTGATGGCTCTGTCTAGGACTTCAAGTACTATGTTGAATAGGATGGTGAGAGTGGGCATTCTTGTCTTGTTTCACTTATGAAGGGAACTTCTTCCAGCTTTTACTCATTCAGTATGATGTTGGTTGTGGGTTTGTCACAGGCGGCTCTTATTATATTGAGTTATGTTTCTTCAATGCTTAGCTTGTTGAGGGCTTTTAACATGAAGAAATGCTTAGTAAAAAGTATGTTCTACATGTGTGTTGAGAAGATCATGTGGTTTTTGTTTTTAGTTTTGTTTAGGTGATGAATCACATGTATTGATTGTGTATGTTCAACCAACCTTGCACCCTAAGAATAAAGTTGACTTGATCATGGTGGATTCACTTTTTGATATGCTGCGGGATTCAGTTCTTAGTATTTTTTGTGGATTTTTGCCTCTATGTTCATCAGGAATATTGGCATGTAGTTTTCTTTTGTTTAATGTTCTTTTCTGTCTTTAGTATCAGGGTGATGCCAGCCTTATAGAATGAGTAAAGGCCACCCTGGGCAAACAGTGAGACCCATCCCTTTTTAAAAATTATGAGTTTTACAAATTTAAAATGCATAGTGAAAAAGTTCTTACAAACTCCAGAAAGATAGGTGTAAATAAGAGACATTTGTAAGAATGACAGCACATTAAATGTGTAGATTTCAACCTTCAGTTATTGCAATATTCCAGTATCAAGTTGGAGGATGTTATCAGTCTGATATTTTTTCCTCAAATGAGAGAGAGAAAGAAAGACACACAAACAACACAGGGAGAAAAAAAGCACACGTTACAGAGAGACAAAAAGGGAGACAGGGAACTGTGAATTTGGACTCTTGTGTCATAAGACAAATTCTAGATAACACGACCAGACCTTCAATTGACATATTGTGTTTTTGCTAATAAGGTGGAATTCTATGATGCGAAATAACTATATAGTCTTTTCTACTGGGATTTAAATCATTTTATCTGTTTCTGGCTTAACAGGAAAAATACAACCATGGAAAATTATGATGATTTATTTAATACGATTGCTCTATAGTGTTAATAAAACCTATTAGGTATTTTGCATATTACATATCAAGGAGAGTTTGAATCTCAGGTAGAAACAAAAAAAAATACATCAAATTTCCTCATGTGAGTGCAGAATTCAATCGTCCCGTGCAGGGGTAAGTGAGTCTGAGATGTGTTTTGAGCCTGGCCGTTGCGCATGATGTGAAGTGACAAGTCTAGTCTGCAGTTTTCAGAAACCCTCATTCCTCCCTTGACTGATTCACCACTTGAACCTCATATGACGTAGAAGAAGCCTACCTATGTCCCCTTCACATGTTGTGGTCAATGTGTCAACTGCACGATCCGGGCCCCTCACCACATCCTCTGCACCGGTCAGTCGAGCCGAGTCACTGCGTCCTGGCAGCAGAAGCTGCACCATGTCCATGTCACCCACGGTCATCATCCTGGCATGTCTTGGTGAGTCCTGGAAGGGAAGGAGCACCAGGGTTACACTATGGGCCTGCAGATTGGGTGTCTCCCCAGCAGAGAGCCATGTTCTGAAGCAAGTGAGTGGTGAGGATGAGTTAATTTTCAGTCCAGCGTGGCGCCCAGTGGCTCAGGAGGAAAGGGTAGGTTGCTGCCGAGATGAATAGTTCATCATGATCTTTCTTTGCAGGGTTCTTCTTGGACCAGAGTGTGTGGGCACACGTGGGTGAGTCCTTCCCCAAATGATGGGTTGCCATCTTCACCCCAATACAAGTGAATTTTCCAGAAATGGGAGGGAGGCAGCACAGAGGGTGGGCTGATGGGCTGACCATGGGAAGGCCTGGGGGGAGTCTCTCATGAACTAGTAAGAGGAGATCCTGGGAGTCTCTCATGAACTAGTAAGAGGAGATCCTGGGAGTCTCTCATGAACTAGTAAGAGGAGATCCTGGTATGCTCAGCCCTCTGTTTTGTCTTAGCCCTCCCCAGCCTTTCTTCCCCATGGCTGAGTTGAGCTCTGTGTGGCCCAGGCGGGATACTGAGGTGCTCAAAGCTGGGGTGTGTGGGGGGATGTGGTGTCACCGACAGAGGAGGGAAGGGTAGCAGTGTTAGGAACAGCAGGTCCTCTGAGGACAAGAGGGTAACTCACACCCTCCAGCGTTTCCATGACGGTAGGGGCTGCAGTGTGGCTGCTGTCATTCTGCCAGAAGAGGTGGGGGAACCACAGCCACGACCCTGCCATTCCAAATCCTCTGATGGAGCTCAGTTGTTTATTGTGGTTCAGGCATTAGCTAATATTCCATTCACAAAGGTCATACCCTCCACCCCATGTCTACTTTGTGTTCTTTGGTGTAACTAATCTTGCAGTATTAAAATCTAGTAAGAGTCCCTTACTCAGCACCTGCTGAGTTCTCAACTGACACTTTTGTTGTAGGGAGACGCCACGTCTATGCGGGATGGGTCCTTCCTGTAGCCCCAGGCACCCAGGTGTGGTAGGAGCCTTAGAAAGAAGAAATGGGGAGAATCTTCTGAGCACAGGGAGGGAGGGGCAGCTCAACATACTCCTCTCTGAGGCGGCATCTCCTTCTCCCCAAGGTGGTCAGGACAAGCCCTTCTGCTCTGCCTGGCCCAGCGCTGTGGTGCCTCAAGGAGGACACGTGACTCTTCGGTGTCACTATCGTCGTGGGTTTAACATCTTCACGCTGTACAAGAAAGATGGGGTCCCTGTCCCTGAGCTCTACAACAGAATATTCTGGAACAGTTTCCTCATTAGCCCTGTGACCCCAGCACACGCAGGGACCTACAGATGTCGAGGTTTTCACCCGCACTCCCCCACTGAGTGGTCGGCACCCAGCAACCCCCTGGTGATCATGGTCACAGGTCAGAGGGCTCCTGTCTGGGCTTCTCCTTGTCCCACCTCCTGAGTCCCAGAGCTTCTGGTGGGGGTGTCCACCAGAGTCCGATCATCCAGGCCCCAACTATATTTGGGGTAAAGGGGGATTGAATACAGGGGAATGGGTGCTGTGTTGGAAAGAATAACTGTCCCCATCGATGGCCACATTGTAATCCTTGGAGCCTGTGACTATGTTATAGGGCAGGGGACTGAAGGGGAAGATGGAGCTCAGGTTGTTGATGAGTTGACCTTGAGATGGGGAGATGGCCTGGACTCTCCCACTGGGCTCAGTGTAATCACAAGGGTCCATATGAGTGGAGAAGGAAGAGGAGAATGGGGATTAGAGCAGCATCGTGGGATACTCCACCAGCCACTGTGGGCTTTGAAGGTGGAGGAAGACCACGAGCCACGAAGGGGCTGGAGAAATCAATGGAACTGATTCTCCCGAGTCTCCAGAGGGAATGCAGCCCTGCAGATGCCTTGATTGTAGCCCAGGAAGAACAGGGTCTGATTTCTGTCTCCAGAAGTGGAAGGGGTCAGTGTGTTCTCTCCTGCCGCCATGTTTGTGATAATTTTCTCCAGCAACAACAGGAAACCAACACAGGAACCCAGGTGAAGGACAAGTTAAAAAACCAAACAAGAAGGTTGGCTACCCTGAGATCAGCAAGGGTGCACTGCTGATGCCACCACCAGGCTGGAACCACATAGGGAGGGATCGACAGGAAGAGTTGGGGGTGGAGGGTGAGAGAGAGAGAGAGAGCACTAGGCCATAGAGCAGGGCAGTGAGTTCTCAGCTCAGGTGGGAGGGGAGCTGTGACAAGGAAGAACCTCCCTGAGGAAACTGCCTCTTCTCCTTCCAGGTCTATATGAGAAACCTTCGCTTACAGCCCGGCCGGGCCCCACGGTTCGCGCAGGAGAGAACGTGACCTTGTCCTGCAGCTCCCAGAGCTCCTTTGACATCTACCATCTATCCAGGGAGGGGGAAGCCCATGAACTTAGGCTCCCTGCAGTGCCCAGCATCAATGGAACATTCCAGGCCGACTTCCCTCTGGGTCCTGCCACCCACGGAGAGACCTACAGATGCTTCGGCTCTTTCCATGGATCTCCCTACGAGTGGTCAGACCCGAGTGACCCACTGCCTGTTTCTGTCACAGGTGAGGAAAGCCAATGTCTGTCCCATGTCCTATGGTCCTAGAGCCTTAGCTGAGGAGCTTCCTGCTGATGATGGAGAGAAGCATGGACAGATGTGGAGAGAAGATGCAGCATGGTGTGAGGGTGGGATCAGGGCACAGGATGGCAGACAGGGCACCTCCAAACCCTCCTGCATGGCCTGCATGGAAGCTTGCAGTAAGGGCTCCGGGTACCCAGGCAGATGGAGAAAGTGGTCAGGACAGACCCAGAGGAGGGAGACTGGGCTCAGTTTGGGGAGATCAGAGGTTCCCTCAGCCCCTCAACCTTACCCATTTCCCAGAAGCCCACCCTGGCCTCTCACCTACACAGAGATGTCATCACCAGCAACCCCTACACTTTTTCTTTTCCTTTGAAAAAATGCTGATTGAGGTTAAATATACCTATATAATTTATCAACTTTACCATTTTTAAGTGTAAAATCTAGGGATCATAAATACCTTTATATGCTGTGTGCGGTGGCTCATGCCTGTAATCTCAGCATTTTGAGACGCCAAGGCAGGTGGATCATTTAAAATCAGGGGCTGGAGACCAGCCTGGCCAACATGGGGGAACCAATCTTTACTAAAAAGACAAAAAAAATAAAATTAGCCAGGCATGGTGCCAGGCGCCTATAATCCCAGCAACTTGGGAGGCTGAGGCGGGAGAGTGGCTTAAACCCAGGAGGAGGAGGTTGCAGTGAGCTGAGATCATGCCACTGCACTGCAGCCTGGTGACACAGAGAGACTCTGTCTCTAAATAAATAAATAAATACTTTTATATTCTTCTTTTGTTACCCTCCACCCCTTCCTTCCTAACCTCTGGTATCCACCATTCTACTCTCTACCTTCATGAGGTCCACCTTTTACATCCTGCATGTGAGTAAGAAATGGCAATCCTTGTAATGACCTCCAGTCCATCCATGTGGCTGCAAATGACAGGACGTTACTCTTTGTATGGATGAGTTGTCTCCATTGTGTGTATGTACTACTTTCTCTCTATCCATTCATCCACTGATGGGCAGGTAGGTTGACTCCACATCTTGGCTACTGTGAACAGTGCTGGAACAGTCATGGGAGTGCAGATGTCACTTCAATACACTGAAGTCCTTTTCTTTGCATTTACACCCACTAGTGGAATTGCTAGATCCTCTGGATGTTCTCTTTTTAGGTTTTGTTTTATGCTTTTTGTTTTTTTGACATAGCGTTTCACTCTTGTTGCCCAAGCTGGAGTGCAATGGCACCACCTGGGCTCACTGCAACCTCTACCTCCAGGATTCAAGTGATTCTCCAGCCTCAGCCTCCCGAGTAGTTGGGATTACTGGTGCCCGCCACCACGCCTGGCTGATTTTTGTATTTTTAGTAGAGACGGGGTTTCACCATGTTAGCCAGGCTGGTCTCGAACTCTTGACCTCCAGTGATCTGCCCACTTCAGCCTCCCAAGGTGCTGGGATTACAAGCGTGAGACACAGTGCCTAATCTCTTTTTAGTTTTTAAGGAACTTCCATATTCTTCTCCTCTGTAATGGCTGTATTAATTTACATTCCTATCAACAGTGTATTAGGGTTCTCCTTTCTCCACCACCTTGCCAACATTTGTTTTGTCTGTCTCTGAGATAAAACCCATTGTAATGGGGTGAGATGATAGCTCATTGTGACTTCATTTGCATTTCTCTGATGATTAGTGATACTGAGCACTTTTTCATATATGCAATGTATATATGTTCATTTGTATGTTTTGTTCATTGAGAAATGTCTGTTCAGGTCTTTTACTAATTTTATAATTAAATTATTAGTTTTATTGAGGTGTTTGAGCTTCTTTTATATTCTAGTTATTAATCCCATCTCAGATGCATAGTTTGCAAATATTTGCTCCCATTCTGTGGGTTGTCTCTTCTTCACTTCATTGGTTGCTTCCTTTGCGGTGCAGAAGCTGCTTGATTTGATATAATCCCAATGGTCTATTTTTTTGTTGTTGTTGTGATTACTTGTGTTTTTGAGGTTTTAAACAAAATGTCTTCCCTCAGACAAATGTCCTGGAGCATTTCTCCAGTGTTTCCTTTTAGACATTTAATGGATTCAGGTCTTAAGTCATTAATCCATTTTCATCTGATTTTTGTGTATGGTGAGAGGTAGAGGTGCAGTTTCATCCCTCTGCATGTAGATATCCAGTTTTCCCTGCACCATTTATTGAAATGACTGTCCTTTCCAGATTGTAGATTCTTCGAACCTTTGTCAAAGTCCATTGGATGTAAATGGGTGGATTACATCCGTGTTCTTCATTCTGCTCCATTGTTTTATGTGCTTTTCTTTATGCCAATGTCATGTTGTTTTGCTTACTACAGCTCTGTAACATATTTTTAAGTCAGGTAGTGTGATGCTCCTGTTTTCTCCTTATACCTTGAAGTCTCAAGATAGTTGGTGTCACCTACAATGATTATGGAGAATGGGATGCCAGGACTCCCAGGGCCCAACATTAGATAATAGAATGTTGGCCATGAACCAACCTCAAAGATTTCCATTGAGTAGAAGACAGGCATCCTCATTGCCACACCTCTCTCCTGTCCCGTGTTCTAGGAAACCCTTCTAGTAGTTGGCCTTCACCCACTGAACCAAGCTTCAAAACTGGTAAGTGAAGGACCCCTCTTATCTCTGCTTTTGGAAACCTGGGGAGGTAGAAGCCTTGGATTCAAGCGTTGGCTCAGCACCTGCCAGCTCTGTGATTGTGGGCCTGTCTTCCATTGTCTCTGAACCCCAGACACTCCAACAGCGAAAGGGATCTGGGCCCAGCACAGGGCTCAGTGAAATCTCTTAATCTCTAATTTTCTGCTGCTGAGACCTCAGGGTAGAAGGATGAGTGCAAATCAGACATTCTTCTCAGGAAAAATGCTGTGTTTGTTCTGCCTGCATTCCTAACTGGGAGGACAAATGCCTGGGGGCTTGAGAAGGGGAAGGAAGGGGAACATTTTTGAGGGTGGTGTATTTGTAGAGAAGTTCTACTTGCCAAGGAATGAGCTCCTGTCTGTCATGATCCAACCCTGGTTGACTTAGTGGAACAAGAGCTTTGCGGTAAGAGAGAACGTAGTTCATCCGTGCACATGACACTTCCACTTACTCGTTCAGCCACTGCCCCATGCTCAGACTGTGCAGTGTGGAACCTTTTCCTATGTTGCCATAACAAATTTCCACAAGCTTCGTGGATGGAAACCACATTTTTAAAAAATATCTCATGGTGCTGTAGCTCAGAAGTATGAAATGCATCATCTCACTGGGCTAAAATCAAGGTGACAGCAAGGCTGCCTTCCCTCTGAATGTTCCAGGCAAGAATCTGCTTCCTCACTTTTCCCAGCTCCTAGAGGCTCCCACATTCCTTGGCTCCTGGTCCCCGTCTTCCTCCCTCAAAGTCCACAAAGGCTGGTCACGCCTCTCACACGGCATCACTCAGACCCTTCTTCCTTGTCCACACCTCTTTCTCTGAATGCTGCTCTGCCTTCTTCCTCATCTTTTAAGGACTTTGGCATTCTATTGGAAACA
This sequence comes from Homo sapiens, assembly GCF_000001405.40. Taxonomy (NCBI): domain Eukaryota; kingdom Metazoa; phylum Chordata; class Mammalia; order Primates; family Hominidae; genus Homo; species Homo sapiens. Next base: position 97,780 of record NW_016107314.1, read on the forward strand.
CCAAGATAATCCATCATAATTTCCCTAAAATCATCTAGGATACCCTCCTTTTAAGGTTAGCTGATTAGCAACCGTAATTCCATCTGCAATCTGCATTCCTTTTTTCCATGTAAAATAACATATTCACAAGATATGGCGACTAGGACAGGAATATTTTGGGGTGGGGCGGCATTCTTATCCTTTCCACAAATGGTAAACAAGGTGCATTTGGCCTCTGCTCTTGGACACTGATATTGCAAAGGATTAAATGGGAGGGCAGAAAATGAATGCACCAGTGGACCAATAAATGAATGATCCATTGGGAAGCATCTGTGCATGAGAATGATTGATTGATTGGTTGTTTTTATGAGACAGTGTCTCCCTCTGTGCCCCAGGCTGGAGTGCAGTGGCGGGATCTCGGCTCACCGCAACCTCCACCTCCCAGGTTAAAGCGATTCTCTACACTCAGCTTCCCGAGAGGCTGGGATTACACCCATGTCCCACCACGCCTGGCTAATTTTTTTTTGGTATTTTTTTTTAGTACAGACAAGGTTTTACCATGTTGCCCAGGCTATCTCAAACTCCCAACCTTAAGGGATCCGCCCGTCTCAGCCTCCCAAAGTGCTGAGATTAGAGGCGTGAGCCAAGGCGCCGAGCCGTATTTTAAAAGAAATAATAGATAATGCTGAGTGTATAATTTCGGGTGACAGAGAAGTTCTCACTGATCAAATAATACTTGTGACCTTAATGAAAAAAATAGATCAACCCCTGGAAGATTGGCGGAAGGATTTTCCACACAGCTGTCAGCCGTGAAGGCACAAAGGTGAAAACAATGTTATGTGGAAGGAAGAGGCTCTGCCTGAAATGCTGGGAATGACATGGGGAGAATGACAAGACGACTGTGGAGAGACAGAGAGCACACTGGGTACACAGGAAACTAAGGAGCAACAAGGAGCGTGTGTTTGATACTCACAGCCATTGGACTTACCTCGGGGCTAACTGGGAATCCCTACATGATGAATAGTGACTGACATGAAAATAAGGGAGGCCCAGGTGCATAACTGGAATCTAGGAGACTGTGGAAAAGGCAATTCCCGCCCCCCTGGTGAAATGTGGTGCTGATTTAGACACTAAATGAATGAAAGATGGACACAAGATGTGTTTGTGAGGTAGAGTAATTTGCAGGGAGGGCTTGCCTGGTTTGATTTTTCCTAATTGTTTAATCTTCACTTCATTGATTTCTTTCTGAGATTTATTTTTCCTACATGTAAATCAATACTTGGCAGAGGAGTGAGAGATACATGAGGGGTGGTGCAAAGGAAGAGACCTATTATAATATAACACACAAGGTTCTGAACGGTGGCTCACACCTGTAACCCAACATTTTGGGAGGCTGAGGAGGCTGGATCAAGTGAGATCAGGAGTTCGAGATCAGCCTGGACAACATGGTGAAACCCCATCTCTACTAAATATACAAAAACTAGCTGGGGGTGGTGGCGCGTGCCTGTAATACCAGCTATTCGGGAAGTTGAAGAAGGAGAATGGCTTCAACCAGGGAGGGAGAGGTTACAGTGAGCCAAGATCGCGTCATTGCACTGCACCCTAGGTGACAGAGTGAGACTCCATGGCAAAAAATAAAAATAAAGAATACATAAATATAATATAACATACACGAATGACAAAGGCACACCAATTCCAATCATCATTTTTCTATTTCTCTATAATGACTTCTTTGATCCTTTATCCTATCCGTAAGAAAATCAGGCGAAAACATCTTCCTTATTTGGCTTTCTGTGAGCATGAGATCATATGGAAAATGTGAAACCCACCAGCACAGGTCCTGGAATAGAGAACGTGATCTGTTCATGGCACAAAACTTGCCCCTTCACCCAAATCCCCCACCTCACCCCTACTTCCAATCACATTAATGATACAGATAGATCATGGGGAGGTAAAAACTAATATTCTTTGGAGTTCAGATCGTAGACTCAGAGACCAGTGCCAGCACTATCTCCTGGTCACCTTTTGGAGTAATTCACAGAAAGACAGGCTGTATTGAAGCAACAGATGATGGAGGGGGTGGTCTTTCCCCCAGACTCTCGGGTGGAACAGCAGCCTAATATCTGACTCCCAAGATGACAAAAGTAGCATGTTGCCCACGAGCTTCATCATTATTTCCTGGCTGTTTGATATAAGACAGCTCAACCTCACTTATGTTGATTTCAATGTCACTGTTTTTTCCTTTTCTTGGAGAATGTAATTTGTTTGAGTCAAGAGGGTTGTGGATGTAGAAACTGTAAAGCACATTCACTGTGTATCAATCCCAGTCCAGTCTTCCCAGAGAAGACTCTAAACACCTCCCATACTGCACCTGGGGCTGTGCCAATTTCTATCACTCACCATCACTCCAGGGAGACAGAACACACAGGGAATACATTACATAGGCAGGTTCATTACTTATAGATAAGCAGCGAGTGACAACAGAAACCTTCCTTTCAGGGTGAGCCAGTCCCTCAAGGCTCAGAAAAACTGCTCAGGACACATGGAGTCACTTCATGTGCACTGTAGCTGGGGGAAGCCAGAAAGCAGCCCAGCCTGGGTTTTGTACCCTGGAGCCACAGGGAACACTCAGCTAAAGCACTGCATGATGTTCTCCTCCAGGAAGAACAGGAAGACAGCCCAGGCTGTTCTGAGACGTTCCTCCTGATCTCAGGATGTTGCTGTCTTAGCCTATTTTTGTTGCTATAAAAGAACACTTGAGCCTGGGTATCTTCTAAAGAAAAGAGATGTGTTTGGCTCACTGATCTGCACGCTGTACTAGAAGCAGGACACTACCATCTATTTCTGGCTGCGGCCTCAGGCTGCTCCCACACTGACAGAAGAGAAGGGGGTCCTGCGTGTGCAGAGACCACAGAGATCACATGGCAAGAGAGGGAGAAAGGGGGTGTGATGGAGCTTCCAAGCTCTTTTTAAGAATCAACTCTCCAGGGTACTAATAGAGGGAGAACTTGCTAACCCCGTCCTCTGGGGACAGCATTAATCTATTCATGATGGATCCACCCCCATGACCAAAACACCCCTCCCAATAGGCACAACTCCCACACTGGGGATTAAATTTCAAAGTGGGGTTTGGAGGGGTCAAACATTGAAACAATAGCAGTTGTATCATCAGCACATTCTATTGTTATTATGAAAACTATAACGGAGAAAGCAGGAGAAAGCTGGGTCTCCCGCCTCGTGGGTGCTTGTCTTAAAGAGGTGTTTTATGTGGTTGCCTGGCAACCAAGAAATGAGAGACAATCCACAAAGAGGAACTGCTATGGTTAGCTTCTTATTGGATTCCCATCTTCCTCCAGGTATCGCCAGACACCTGCATGCTGTGATTAGGTACTCAGTGGCCATCATCCTCTTTACCATCCTTCCCTTCTTTCTCCTTCATCGCTGGTGCTCCAAAAAAAAAGTAAGCCTCACGAAGCAGAGGCCAGAGAACTCAGGGCCCTGTGCGGAAGCAGGATGGGAGCACGCAGGTGTGTGTTCCTCACTGGCAGGAAAGTCTCTGGCCCAAGGCAGGAGCCAGAGGCAGAGCTTTCTAGAGAGAGCACCAGACACCCTGCCCCTGCCTTCAGCTCACAGACCGTTGCCTGATTGTGAACTGTATCCTCACGTCCCCTGCAGCCACTCACATCCAGGAGAAGATTCCATGACAGGCAGAAAGTGGGAGATAGAATCAATGGGATGGGAACTGACAGCTATTCATGGAATGGGGTCTTGCACTCAGAGAGATGGAATGTCTGAGTCTGGCTGTTGGCAGCTGAGGGACCTCAGGCACCTATGGCCTCCCCCTGTGTGTTGGTATCTGTTCATGAAATGAGGACCCAGAAGTGCCCTCCCAGCTGTTTTGATTGCTTCCGTCTCCTACAGATGCTGCTGTAATGAACCAAGAGCCTGCGGGACACAGAACAGTGAACAGGGAGGTAGGTCCTCCTAGCCCAGCCTCATGGATACAGTCTTATTCCGAAATAGTCCTGAAAAATGTGAACACCCTCCCTCACTCAGGATTTCCCTCTCTCCAGGACTCTGATGAACAAGACCCTCAGGAGGTGACATACGCACAGTTGGATCACTGCATTTTCACACAGAGAAAAATCACTGGCCCTTCTCAGAGGAGCAAGAGACCCTCAACAGATACCAGCGTGTGTATAGAACTTCCAAATGCTGAGCCCAGAGCGTTGTCTCCTGCCCATGAGCACCACAGTCAGGCCTTGATGGGATCTTCTAGGGAGACAACAGCCCTGTCTCAAACCCAGCTTGCCAGCTCTAATGTACCAGCAGCTGGAATCTGAAGGCGTGAGTCTCCATCTTAGAGCATCACTCTTCCTCACACCACAAATCTGGTGCCTGTCTCTTGCTTACCAATGTCTAAGGTCCCCACTGCCTGCTGCAGAGAAAACACACTCCTTTGCTTAGCCCACAATTCTCTATTTCACTTGACCCCTGCCCACCTCTCCAACCTAACTGGCTTACTTCCTAGTCTACTTGAGGCTGCAATCACACTGAGGAACTCACAATTCCAAACATACAAGAGGCTCTCTCTTAACACGGCACTTAGACACGTGCTGTTCCACCTTCCCTCGTGCTGTTCCACCTTTCCTCAGACTATTTTTCAGCCTTCTGGCATCAGCAAACCTTATAAAATTTTTTTGATTTCAGTGTAGTTCTCTCCTCTTCAAATAAACATGTCTGCCTTCATTCTTTAGGTGACTCTTTTTTTGGCTGAAAGTTTCCAGTGTTATCATTACCATGTCCAAATAACTCCAACTGTTCTCCACTGGGTTCTCACCCCTGGACTTGGAGCTTCTGGAAGCAGGGTGGAGCCTGATTTGTCTCTGAGACTCCAATTTCCATCCAAAGATGCAGCACATAAGAGGTTCCAAGGATCGTGAATCACATGAACAAGTGATATTCTTACTCTCTGCAGACCTGGAAAGCTGGCAGAGTCATTCCATGATGAAACATTTGTAGAGTCATAGGCCTTGTTAGTCTCATCTCCACGGGGACACATATCAACACATCATCTTTCATACTATAAATATACAGTCGGTCCTCTGTATCTGTGGGATTTACAGGTGTTTATTGAACCAAATATAAATCAAAAATATTCAGAGAAAAAATCCACAAAGTTTCAAAAAGCAAAACTATGTTGAATGGACACAAATGAAGCTGTGTGTAGGCTGTATCAGGAATTATAAATAATCAAGGGATGATTTCATGTACACAGGAGGATGTGCATGGGTTATTTGCAAATGCTGTGCCATTTCATGTAAGAGGCTTGAGCGTCTGCAGATTGTGCTATCTGAGTGGAGATCCTGAAACCAATCACCCACGAATAGTGAGGGATGACTGTATATAATTTTTATTTCTCAATTTTAAATATAAAACATAAAAAAATTACAATAACAAGATAAAATAAACAAGTGTTTTATAGTGTGAGAATACGTTTAGATATATTTTTCTCTATGTGTAACCCTTGGGCCCATGTTATTTATTGAGAAGACATTCTATTCCACCTTAAACCACATGGCAGCCTTTGTCAACTATAAAGGGACTGTGTGTACACGGATGTATTTTAGACACTGTTTTCTGCTCAGTGGCTCTCTCTCTGTCCACTCTCTTGAGAATGCTGCATTTTATGCAGCCTTATACAACCCCTAAAATTTGGTAGCTGGAGTCCTCTAGTTATTTATTATAGGCTATTTGCTATGCTTTTTTTATTTTTCTTGAGGCAGAGTCTCGCTCTGTTGCCCAGGCTGGAGTGCAGTGGCACGATCTCGGCTCACTGCAACTTCCGCCTCCCAGGTTCAAGGGATTCCGTGCCTCAGCCTCTTGAATAGCTGGCATTACAAGTGCCTGCTACCAGGCATGGCTAATTTTTGTATTTTTAGCAGAGACATGGTTTCACTATATTGGCCAGGCTGGTCTCAAACTCCTGACCTCGGTTGATCACTCACCTCGGCTTCCAAAGTGCTGGGGAAATTGATTTTCTATAGCATTATGTTACTGGATATTTCTGTAAAATTTAAAATGAGGGAGGCAGAGAGACAGAGAGAGAGCAAACCATGAGTTGGAACTCTGGAATCTTGGGACATGAGACAAATTCTAGATAAATCTACAAAAATCCAGAATTTACATGTTGTGATTTTTGCTGATAAAGTACAATTCTAAGATTGTAAATAATTGCATAATCCTTCCCTGGGAGTTTAAATCATTTGAACTGGTTCTGCTGTAATACTAGAAATACAATCATGAAAAATTCTAATGGTTTATTGTCACAATTGCTCTGAAAACCTTAATAATACCTATTAGATATTTTGCATATTACACAGGAAGAAGAGTTTGAATCTCAGATAAAAACAATAAAAATACATGAAAAGTCTTTCATGTTAGCACAGATTTTAGGCATCTCGTGTTCGGGAGGTTGGATCTGAGACGTGTTTTGAGTTGGTCATAGTGAAGGACGCGAGGTGTCAATTCTAGTGAGAGCAATTTCCAGGAAGCCATGTTCCGCTCTTGAGCGAGCACCCACTGGGCCTCATGCAAGGTAGAAAGAGCCTGCGTACGTCACCCTCCCATGATGTGGTCAACATGTAAACTGCATGGGCAGGGCGCCAAATAACATCCTGTGCGCTGCTGAGCTGAGCTGGGGCGCAGCCGCCTGTCTGCACCGGCAGCACCATGTCGCTCATGGTCGTCAGCATGGCGTGTGTTGGTGAGTCCTGGAAGGGAATCGAGGGAGGGAGTGCGGGGATGGAGATCTGGACCTGGAGGTAAAGATATGGGCCTAGAGGTGGAGTTATGGGCCTAGAGGTGGAGTTATGGGCCTGAAGTGGAGATCTGGGCCTGGAGTGGAGATCTGGGCCTGGAGTGGAGATAGGGGCCTGGGGTGGAGATATGTGCCTGGAGTGGAGATCTGGGCCTGGAGTGGAGATATGGGCCTGGGGTGGAGATATGTGCCTGGGGTGGAGAGATGGGCCTGGAGGGGAGATATGGGCCTGGAGGGGAGATGTGGGCCTAGAGGTGGAGTGATGGGCCTAGAAGTGGAGCGATGGGCCTGGAGTGGAGATATGGGCCTGGAGGTGGAGTTATGGGCCTGCAGTAGAGATATGGGCCTGAAGTGGAGATATGGGCCTGGAGTGGAGATATGGGCCTAGAGGTGGAGTTATGGGCCCGGAGGTGGAGTTAAGGGCATGAAGTGGAGATCTGGGCCTGGAGTGGAGATATGATCCTGGAGTGGAGATATGGGCCTGGGGTGGAGATACGGGCCTGGAGCAGACATACAAGCCTGGAAAGGAGATATGGGCCTGGAGAGGAGATAGAAGCCTGGAGTGGAAATATGGGCCTGGAGTGGAGATATGAGCCTGGAGTGGATATATGAGCCTGGAGTTGAGATAGGAGCCTGGAGTGGAGATATGGGCCTGGAGTGGACTTACCAGCCTGGAGAGGAGATATGGGCCTGGAGTGGAGATACGGACCTGGAGTGGAGATCTGGGCCTGTTGTGTAGATCTAGGCCTGGAGGTAGAGATCTGGGCCTGGAGGCTCAGTCTCTGCACAGCCGAGATCCTTGTTCCTGGGGGCAGGTAGGCAGCGAGGGTGAGTTTACCTTCAGCCCAGCAAGGGCCTGGCTGCCAAGACGCACAGCCCAGTGGGGGCAGCAGGGTGCCCTGGTTTGCCTGCAGAGGGATGGTCCATCATGATCTTTCTTTCTAGGGTTGTTCTTGGTCCAGAGGGCCGGTCCACACATGGGTGAGTCCTTCCCCAAACCTTAGGGTGTCATCTCCCCACATAAGAGGATTTTCCTGAAATGGGAGGGAAGTCCTGTCGGGGAGTCTCTCATACACTAGGAAGAGGGGACCCTCGGATGCTCGGCCCACATTTCTGACCTTGCCTTCCCCGGCCTTTCATTCCCTTTCCTGAGTCAAGCTCTGTGAAGACTGGGGTGAGACTAGGGTGCTCCAAGATGGGTGTGCAGGGAGGAAGTGGTGTCAGCAGCAGAGAAAGAGAGGGAAGCAGTGCTAGGAACAGCAGGTCCTCTGAGGACAAAGGTGTAACTCACACCCTCCAGCGTTTCCGTGATGGTAGGGGCTGCAGTGTGGCTGCGGTCTTTCTACCAGAAAAGGTGAGGAAACCACAGCCATGGCCCTGACATTCCAAATCCTCTGATGGGGGCTCAGTTCATCAATTGGCTGATATTCCATTCACATAGGACTTGCCCTCCATGCCGTGTCTACTTTGTGTTGTTTTATATGAGTAATTTTGCAGTATTAAAATCTAGTAAGAGTTGCTTCTCCAGCAACTTGCTCAAAGTTCTCAGCTGACACTTGTTGTAGGGAGACGCCAAGTCTATGCAGGATGGGTCCTTCCTGTAGCCCTGGGCACCCAGGTGTGGTAGGAGCCTTAGAAAGTGGAAATGGGGAGAATCTTCTGGGCACTGGGAGTGAGGGGCGGCTCCACATCCTCCTCTCTAAGGCAGTGCCTCCTTCTCCCCCAGGTGGTCAGGACAAACCCTTCCTGTCTGCCTGGCCCAGCGCTGTGGTGCCTCGAGGAGGACACGTGACTCTTCGGTGTCACTATCGTCATAGGTTTAACAATTTCATGCTATACAAAGAAGACAGAATCCACATTCCCATCTTCCATGGCAGAATATTCCAGGAGAGCTTCAACATGAGCCCTGTGACCACAGCACATGCAGGGAACTACACATGTCGGGGTTCACACCCACACTCCCCCACTGGGTGGTCGGCACCCAGCAACCCCGTGGTGATCATGGTCACAGGTCAGAGGCTTTCCGTCTGGGCTTCTCACTGTCCCACCTCCTGAATCCCAGAGCTTCTGGTGGGGGTGTCCGTCAGGGTCCCATCACCCAGGCCCTGACTGTATTTGGGGTCAAGGGAGATTGAATACAGGGGAAATGGGTGCTGTGGTGGGAAGAATCACTGTCCCCAATGATGGCTACATTGTAATCCCTGGAGCCTGTGACTATTTATGTTACAGGGCAGGGGACTGAAGGGGAAGGTGGAGCTCAGGTTGTTGATGAGTTGACCTTGAGATGGGGAGACAGCCTGGACTGTCCCACTGGGCTCAGTGTAATCACAAGGGTCCACATGAGAGGTGGAGGAAGAGGGGAGTGGGGATTAGAGCAGTGTAGTGGGAGGGAGACGCTATCAGCCACTGCGGGCTTTGAAGGTGGAGGAAGACCACTAGTCACAGAATGCAGGTGGCCTCTAAGGGCTGGAGAAGTCAAGAGAACTGATTCGCTGATTCTCCAGAGGGAACGCAGCCCTGTAGACACCTTGATTTCAGCACAGGGAGAACTGGATCCAATTTCTGTCTCCAGAAGTGGAAGGGGTCAGTGTGTTCTCTCCCGCTGCCATGTTTGTGGTAATTTTCTGCAGCAGCAACAGGAAACCAACACAGGAACCCAGGTCAAGGACAAGTTAGGAAACCAAACAAGGATAGCCAGATGTGGTGGTGGGCACGAGTAATCCAACGACTGGGGAGGCTGAGGCAAGAGAATCACTTGAACTGGGGATTTGTTCAAAAGAGATTGATTCAGGCTGCTAAGAGCCTGGACATGCAGCCTGTCCTCTTCCACCCCCACATAGACAGCAGGAAAGAGATTAGTGGGAAACAGATACAACAGCCCAAGAGATGAGGCTGTCTTCACAGTGGCAAGGGAGTCAGGGGCTACTGGAGACAGAGGGACAGAGAAGAGGGAGGAAGACAGATGGAGGCACCTGCACCAGGGGATATGGGCACAGAAAAGACACGGAGATGCAGAGAGGGAGGAGAGAGACAGACACGGGGAGGGGAACCCTCACTCATTCCAGGTGCCATGGATGGGATGATAAAGAGAGATGCCTTCTAAACTCACAACTTCTCTTTCTAGGAAACCACAGAAAACCTTCCCTCCTGGCCCACCCAGGTCCCCTGGTGAAATCAGGAGAGAGAGTCATCCTGCAATGTTGGTCAGATATCATGTTTGAGCACTTCTTTCTGCACAAAGAGGGGATCTCTAAGGACCCCTCACGCCTCGTTGGACAGATCCATGATGGGGTCTCCAAGGCCAATTTCTCCATCGGTCCCATGATGCTTGCCCTTGCAGGGACCTACAGATGCTACGGTTCTGTTACTCACACCCCCTATCAGTTGTCAGCTCCCAGTGATCCCCTGGACATCGTGGTCACAGGTGAGAGTGTCTAGACATTGTTCTCATTGTCACTGGGACACAGAGTGAATGATCCAGGACTTGGAACCCCCAGGTGGTCATGAGGAAGATAAGTGTGGGATTCTTATGGAAAGAGAGTGACTTGGTGAGGTCTGTACCAACAGAGACAGAGAAACAGGAGACATAAGTACAGAACAGGTGTCATAACAGAGGACAGACACAGGGGCCATACAGGGAGGTAGAAAAGAGAGAAAGAGGTAAAGGAGACACTCAGACAGACAGACATGTCCCAGAGAGAGGTGTCCTTCCATGCTGACTTTGCTCAGAGACCTGGCACAGGTTAGAAGTTTCATTTCTGTTTTACCTCCACAAAGTGTTCCTACCAGAAGAACCCAAGGACACCCATATTTCTGACCTGAGTTGGGCCCTGTGGCCTCAGGCCTTGTGCCACCTACAGATGCCGTGTTTATTCTGACACCTCTGCCTTCCATGCAATGGAGAGTAATCATCCCAGGATATCATGGCCCCTGAACACCAACCCCTGTATGCTGTGTGAACTTGGGGTCCCCAGACTGGATTCTGAGGCTCATATTCCAAATAATCCCACATATGATAGGATCGCTGAGAGACACAGAGAAAAATCAGGGACACCAAAAAGCAAAGACATAAACACACACAAAATGAGCCAGAAGAAGGAGATTAAGAGATTCACAGACACATAAAAAGAAAGAAAAGAGGGCAGAATGGAGAGAATGATGGAAAGGAGGAGAGAAAAGCCCCAAAATCAGAACCCTGAGGGAGGGACACAAAGACAGAGAAAGATAAATATGTGGGGATGGATTGCAGAGATTCCAAATAGAACTAGAGAGACTGAGAGGCAGAGAAAGACAAGGAGACGGAGAGAGAGAGATGATAGATGGATAGATAGACGTAGATAGATGATAAATAGGTAGATGATAGATAATGGATTGGTTATAGATACATAGATGATGACTGATAGATGATACATAGAGATGACGATGATGATGATAGACACATAGATATATACATAGATGATACATAAATAGAGACAGAGAGGCAGACAGAGAGGTAATAGAGAGAGAGATAGATGATACATATATAGATAATAGATGATTGATGGATAGATAGACAGACAGACAATTGATAGAGAGATAGATAAGTGATACATAAATATAGATGATAGATAATTTGTAGATAGACACAAAATAGATAAATAGATAGAAATGTGCAGAAAGTTATGAACAAGACAGAAAGTGAGAGACTCAAAATTAAAGAAAAAGGAAGATCAAGTCAACCAATCCAAGGAGGGTCAGAGAGAATAAAACAATCCAAAAAGGGAAAACATACCTCAGGGTGGGGAAGTGAGGTCATAGACCTAGAGAGACAGAAAAGGTAGAAGGAGGAAACAGATATGAAGAGAGATGGGGTGGAGGGTGAGAGAGAGAGAGAGAGCATTAGGTCATAGAGCAGGGGAGTGAGTTCTCAGCTCAGGTATGAGGGGAGCTATGACAAGGAAGAACCTCCCTGAGGAAACTGCCTCTTCTCCTTCCAGGTCCATATGAGAAACCTTCTCTCTCAGCCCAGCCGGGCCCCAAGGTTCAGGCAGGAGAGAGCGTGACCTTGTCCTGTAGCTCCCGGAGCTCCTATGACATGTACCATCTATCCAGGGAGGGGGGAGCCCATGAACGTAGGCTCCCTGCAGTGCGCAAGGTCAACAGAACATTCCAGGCAGATTTCCCTCTGGGCCCTGCCACCCACGGAGGGACCTACAGATGCTTCGGCTCTTTCCGTCACTCTCCCTACGAGTGGTCAGACCCGAGTGACCCACTGCTTGTTTCTGTCACAGGTGAGAAAAGCCCATATCTCTCTCATGTCCTATGATCCTAAATCCTTAGCTAAGGAGCTTCCTGCTGATGATGGAGAAAAGCATGGACAGATGCAGAGAGAAGACACAGCAGGTGTGAGGGCGGAGTCAGGGCGCAGGATGGCAGACAGGGCACCTCCAAACCCTCCTTCATGGCCTGCATGGAGGCCTCCGATCAGGGCTCCAGGCACCCAGGCAGATGGAGAAAGCGGTCAGGACAGACCCAGAGAAGGGGAGACTGGGCTTAGTTTGGGGAGATCAGAGGTTCCCTCAGCCCCTCAATCTTATCCATTTCCCAGAAGCCCATCATGGCCTCTCACCCACACAGAGAGATATCATCACCAGCAACCCCTACACCCTTTTCTTTTCATTTTCAAAAATATTTATTGAGGTTAAATGTAACTATATAATTTACCACCTTTACCATTTTTAAAAGTAAAATCTAGTGGTCATAAATACCTTTATATGCTGGGTGTGGTGGTTCACGGTTGTAATCTCGGCGCTTTGAGAGGCCAAGGAAGGTGGATCATTTAAGATCAGGAACTCGAGATCACCCTGGCCAACATGTGGGAAATTCATCTTTACTAAACAGACAAGAAAAATTAGCCGAGCATGCTGGCATGCACCTGTAGTCCTAGCTACTTGGGAGGCTGAGGCAGGAGAAGCACTTAAACCCAGGAGGCAGAGGTTGCACTGAGCCGAGATCATGCCACTGCACTGCAGCCTGGGAGACAGAGAGAGACTCTGTTTCTAAATAAATAAATACATCTATATTCTTTTTTTTGTTACCCTCCACCCTTCCCTTCCTGGCCTCTGGTGTCCACCATTGTATTCTCCACCTTCATGAGATCCACCTTTTATCTCCTGCATGTGGGTGAGAAATGGGAATCTTTGTAATGACCTCCAGTTCCATCCATGTGGCTGCAAATGACAGGATGTTATTGTTTCTATGGATGAGTAGTCTCCACTGTGTGTGTGTACCACAGTTCTCTATCCATTCACCCACTGATGGGCAGGTAGGTTGACTCCACATCTTGGCTACTGTGAACAGTGCTGGAACAGTCATATGAGTGCAGATATCACTTCGATACACTGATGTCCTTTCCTTTGGATATAAACCCAGTAGTGAAATTGCTGGACACTATGAAAGTTCTCTTTTTTTTTTTTTCTTTTTTGAGAAAGAGTTTCCCTCCTTAGTCCAAGCTGGAGTCTAAGTGGTGAGATCTTGGCTCATTGCAACCTGTGCCTCCTAGGTTCAAATGATTGTCCTGACTCAGCCTCCCTAGTAGCTGTGATTACAGGTGCACGCCACCATGCCTGGCTAATTTTTGTATTTTTTTAGCACAGACGGGATATCCCAATTTTGGGCAGGCTGCTCTCAAACTCCTGACCTCAAGTGAGGTGCCTGCCTCGGTTTCCCAAAGTGCTGAAGTTACAGGCATAAGCCACTATGCCCAGCCTCCTTTTAGTTTTTTAAAGAATTTCCATACTTTTCTCCATAATAGTTGTACTAATTTACATTCCTACCAACAGGGTACCAGGGTTCTCCTTTCTCTACCATCTTGCCAGCATTTGTTTTGCCTGTCTTGCAGTAAAAGCCATTTTACTTTACTTTATTTTATTTATTTATTTATGTTGAGATGGAGTTTCACTCATAGTCTCCCAGGCTGGAGTGCAAGGGTGTGATCTCAGCTCACTGCAACCTCCGCCTCCCGCGTTCAACTGATTCTCCTGCCTCAGCCTCCAAAGTAGCTGGGATTACAGGCATGTGCCACCACGCCTAGCTAATTTTTGTATGTTTAGTAGAGAGGGAGTTTCTCCATGATGGTCAGGCTGGTCTCCCGACCTCAGGTGATCCGCCCACCTCCGCCTCCTGAAGTGCCGGAATTACAGGCGTGAGCCACCGGCCTAAAAGGCATTTTAATGGGATGAGATGAAAACTCATCGCGATTGTAATTTACATTTCTCTGATGATGAGTGATGCCGAGTACTTTTTCATATACGTGATCGCCATTTCTATGTTTTGTTTGTGGAGAAATGTCTCCTCATGTCTTTTGCTCGTTTTTTAATTAAATTGTTTTATTGAGTTGTTTGAGCTTCTTATATTTCCAGTTATTAATCCCGTCTCAGATGAATAGTTTGCAAATATTTGCTCCTATTTTGTCGGTTGTCTCTTCACTTTCTTGGTTTATCTTTTGTGGTGCAGAAGTTGCTTGGTTTGATGTAATCCTAATGGTCTATTTTTTGCTTTGATTACTTGTGTTTTGAAGGTTTTAAACAAAATGTCTTTCGTCAGACAAATGTCTTCCCCATTATTTTCTTCTACATGTTTCATAGGTTCAGGCCTTAGACTCATGTTTTTAATCCATTTTCATTTGATTTTTGTGTATGGTGACAGGTATAGATGCAGTTTTATTCCTCTGCATGTAGATATCCAGTTTTCCCCACACCATTTATTGAAAAGACTGTCCTTTCCTGATTGTAAGTTCTCGGCACCTTTGTCAAAGTCCATTAAATGGGCTGGGTATGGTGGCTCACACCTGCAATTCCAGCACTTTGGGAGGCCGAGGCGGGTGGATCACCTGAAGCCAGGAGTTCAAGACCAGGCTGGCCAACAGAGTGAAACCTCGTCTCTACTAAAAATACAAAAATTAGCTGAGCATGGTGACCAGTGCCTGTAATACCACTACTCGGGTGTTTGAGGCAAGAGAATTGCTTGAATCCAGGAAGTGGAGGTTGCATTGAGCTGAGATTGCACCTCTGCACTCCAGCCTGCATGACAGAGCAAGATTCTATCACACACACACACAAAAAAAGCCATTGGATGTAAATGCATGGATTATATCTGTGTTCTCCATTCTGTTTCATTTTTTATGTGCCTTTCTTTATGCCAATGTCATGCTGTTTTGCTTACTACAGCTCTGTAACATATTTCTAAGTCAGGTAGTGTGATGCTCCTGTTTTCTCTTTATACCTTCAAGTCTCAAGACAGTGGGCATCGCACACAAAAATTATGGAGAAGAGGATCCCAAGACTCCCAGGGTCCAACATTAGATAACAGAGTGTTGGCCATGAACCAACCTCAAAGATTTCCATTGAGTAGAGGACAAGCACCCTCATTTCCTCACATCTCTCCTGTCCCATGTTCTAGGAAACCCTTCAAGTAGTTGGCCTTCACCCACAGAACCAAGCTCCAAATCTGGTGAGTAAAGGACCCCTCTTATCTCTGCTTTTGGAAACCTGGGGAGGTGGAAGCCTTGGATGCAAGTGTTGGCTCAAACCTCCCAGCTCTGTGAATGAGGGCCTGTCTTCCACCATCTCTGAACTCCAGACACTCCAACAGTGAAAGGGATCTAGGGCCACCAAAGGGCTCAGCGAAGTCTCTTAACCTTTAATGTCCTGCAGGTGAGACCTCCTACAAGCTAGAAGAATGATTGCCAATCTGACATCCTTCTCAGGAAACATGCAGTGTTTTTTCTTCCTGCATTCCTAACTGGAGGATAAATTCCTGGGGACTTGAGAGAGGGAAGGGAAGGGAACATCTGATGAGGGCGAGGTGTTTTAGAGAAGTTCCACTTGCCAAGGAATGAATTACTGTTGGTCATGAAGCAACCCTGGCTGACTCAGCAGAGCAAGAGCCTTGCCGTAACAGAGAACAGAGCTCATGCACGCACACTTCGACTCACTGACTCATTCAGCCACGGCCCCATGCTCAGGCTGTGCAGTTGGAATCCTTTCCTATTGTTGCCATAACAAATTTCCACAAGATTCGTGGGTGAAAACAAAACGGTTTTTTAATTATCTTACAGTGCTGTAGCTCAAAGTAGGAAGTGCATCTTACTGGGCTAAAATCAAGGTGACAGCAAGGCTGCCTTCCCTCTGAGGATTCCAGGCAAGAATCTGCTTCTCACTTGTCCCAGCTTCTAAAGGCTCCCAGTTCCTTGGCTCCTGGTCCCCTTCCTCCTTCCTCAAAGCCCACAAAGACTGGTCACATCTCACATGGCATCACTCAGACCCTTCTTCCTTACCACACCTCTTTCTCTGAATGCTGCTCTCCCTTCTTCCTTATCTTTTGAAAACTTGGGGATTCTATTGGGTTCACCAAGATGAAAATCCATCATAATCTCCCGGAAATCATTCAGGATACCCTTGTTTTAAGTTCAGCTGACTAGCAACCGTAATTCCATCTGCAATCTTCATTCCTTCTTTCCATGTAAAATAAGATATTCACAAGCTATGGAGGCCAGGACAGGGACATTTTGGGGTGGGACAGCATTCTCCTGCCTTCCACGAACGGTGAACAAGATGCATTTGGCCTCTGCTCTTGGGACACTGATATTGCAGATGGTTAAATGGGAGGACAGAAAATGAGTGCACAAGTGGACCAATAAATGAATGATCCATTGGGAAGCATCTGTGCATGAAATCTATTTGTTTGTTCGTTCATTTATTTATTGAGACAGAGTCTCCCTCTGTCTTCCAGGCTACAGTGCAGTGTCACGATCTTGGCTCACTGCAACCTGCGTCTCCTGGATCCAAGTGATTCTCCTGCCTCACCCTCTCGAGTAGCTGGGATTACAGGCAACTGCCACCATGCCCGGCTAATTCTTTTTGTATATTTTTTGTAGAGAGGATGTTTCACCATGTTGGCCAAGCTTGTCTGAAACTCCCAACCTCAAGTGATCCGACCATCTCAGCAACCCAAAGTACTGGGATTACAGGCGTGAGCCACTTTGCCCAGCCAGAATTCAAAATAAATAATAGATAATGCTGAGTGTATAATTTTGGGTGACAGAGAAGGTCTCACTAATCAGATATTTGTGACATTAATGAAAAACACGGATTGAACCCCTGAAAGATTGGCGGAAGGATTTTCCACACACAGCTGTCAGCCGTGAAGGCAGAAAGCTGAAAACAATCTGATGTGGAAGGAAGAGGCTCTGCCTGAAATGCTGGGAATGAGGTGGGGAGAATGACAAGACGACTGTGGAGAGACGGAGAGCACACTGGGTACACAGGAAACTAAGGAGCAACAAGGAGTGTGTGTTTGACACTCACAGCCATTGGATTCACCTCGGGGTAGCCAGGAATCCCTACATGATTAATAGTGACTGACATGAAAATAAGGGAGGCCCAGGTGCGTAACTGGAATCTAGGAGACAGTGGAAAAGGCAATTGCCGCCCCACTGGTGAAATGTGGTGCTGATTTAGACCCTAAGTGGATGAAGCAGATGGATATAAGCTATGTTTGGGAGGTAGAATCATTTGCAGGGAGGGCTTGCTGGGTTTGAGTTTCCTAGTTGTTTAATCCTTGCTAAATTAATTTCTTTCTGAGATTTATTCCTCCTACACATAAATCAATACCTGGCAAAGGAGTGACAGATATATGAGGGGTGGTGGAAATGAAGGGACCTATTATAGCATAGTATACAAGTCTGTGAACGGTGGCTCACTCCTGTAACCCAGCACTGCAGGAGGCTAAGGCCAGTGGATTCCAAGAAGTCAGGAGTTCGAGACCAGCCTGGCCAACATGGAGAAACCCTATCTCTACATGGTGAAACCCTATCTCTCCTAAAAATACAAAAATTAGCCGAGCATGGTGGTGCATCCCTGTAATCCCAGCTCCTGCTCTGGAGGATGAAGCAGGAGAATGACTTCAACCCAGGAGGTGGAGGTTGCAGTGAGTGGAGATCGCATCACTGCACTCCAGCCTGGGTGACACAAGGAGACTCCATCTCAAAAAATAAAAATAAGAAATGCATAAATATAATAAAACACACACGAATGACAAAGGCACCTGAATTCCCATCATCATTTTTCTATTTCTCTATAATTACTTCTTTGATCCTTTATCTTATCCATTAGGCAATCAGCCTAAAACCTCTTCCGTATTTGGCTTTCTGTGAGCATGAGATCATATAGAAAATGTGAAAGCCCGCTGAATCCTCCAGCACAAATCCTGGAATAGAGAAAGTGCTCTGGTCATCACAAAAAAAACTTGCCCCCTCACCCAAATCCCCCATCTCACCCCTACTTCCAATCACCTGTGGAAATACAGATAGATCATGGGGAGGTAAATGCTAATACTCCTTGGAGTGAGTCCAGATCTTGGAATCAGAGATCAGTGCCAGCACTAGCTCCTGCTCCCCTTTCCTACTAATTCACAGGAGGACAGGTGGTATTGAAGCAATAGATAGTCGAGGGGGTGGTCCTTCCCCCAGCCTCTGAGGTAGAACAGCAGCCTAACATGTGTCTCCCGAGATCACAAAGAGTAGCACATTTCACACGGGCTTCAACACTATTTTCTGGCTGTTTGACATAAGAGAATTCTACTTCGCTTTTTTTATATTGATTTCACTTTTGTTTCCTTTTCTTGGAGAATGCAAGTTGTTTAACTCAAGAATGCCGTGGATGTAGAAATCCTAAAGCACATTCGCTGTGTATCAATCCCAGTCCAGTCTTCCCAGAGAAGACTCTAAACACCTCCTGGACTGCACCTGGGCCTATGCCAATTCCTATCACTCACCGTCACTCCAGGGAGACAGAACACACAGAGAATACGTTACATAGGCAGGTTCATTACTAACAGATAAGCAGCGAGTGACAACAGAAGCCTACATTTCAATGTGAGCCAGTTCCCCAAGGCTCAGAAAAGCTGCTCGAGACATGTGGAGTCACCCCATTTGCAGTGTAGCTGGGGGAAGCCAGAAAGCAGCCCAGCCTGGGTTTTGTACCCTGGAGCCACAGGAAGCACTCAGCTAAAGCACTGCATGACGTCCTCCTCCAGGAAGAACAGGAAGACAGCCCAGGCTGTTCTGGGACAATCCTCCTGATCTCAGGACTTTGCTGTCTTAGTCCATTTTTGTTGCTCTAAAGGAACACTTGAGCCTGGGTAACTTCTAAAGAAGAGATTGGTTTGCCTCACCGTTCTGCAGGCTGTACTGGAAGCATGGCACCAGCATCTATTTCTTATGATGGCCTCAGGCCGCTCCCACTCTGGCAGAAGGGAAGGAGGGTCTGTCTGTGCAGAGACCACAGAGATCACACGGCAAGAGAGGGAGCAAGGGGGAGGGGGAGCAATGGAGCTTCCAAGCTCTTTTTAACAACCAGCTCTCCAGGAACTAATAGAGAGGGAACTTGCTAACCCCGTCTCCTTGGGACAGCATTGATCTGTTCATGATGGATCCACCTCCATGACCCAAACACCTCCCAAGAGGCCCAACCTCCCACACTGGGGGTTAAATTTCAATGTGAGGTTTGAAGGGGTCAAACATCTCAACTAAAGTAGTTGTATCCTCAGCACGTTCCATGGTTACTATGAGAGCTATAACTGAGAAAGCAGGAGGAAGCTAGATCTCCCGCCATCTGGGTGCTTGTCCGAAAGAGATGCTGTAAGTGGTTACCTGTCAATCAAGAAATGCAAGACAATTCATATAGAGAAACTGCTATGATTAGCTTCTTACTGGTGTCTCCTCTTCTTCCAGGTAACCCCAGACACCTGCACATTCTGATTGGGACCTCAGTGGTCATCATCCTCTTCATCCTCCTCCTCTTCTTTCTCCTTCATCTCTGGTGCTCCAACAAAAAAAGTAAGTCTCACGGGGCACAGGCCAGAGAGCTCAGGGCCATGTGGGGAAGCAGGATGGGAGCACACAGCTGTGTGTTCCTCACTGGCAGGATGGTCCCTGGCCCAAGACAGGAGCCACAGAGGCAGGACTTTCTAGAGAGAGCACCAGACTCCCTGCCCCTGCCTTCAGCTCACAGACCGTTGCCTGATTCTGAACTGTATCCTCATGTCCCCTGCAGCCACTCACATCCAGGAGAAGGTTCCATGACAGGCAGAAAGTGGGAGACAGAATCAATGGGATGGGAACTCAGAGCTATTCATGGGATGGGTCCTTGAGCTCAGAGAGATAGAATGTCTGAGTCTGCTGTTGGCAACTGAGGGACCTCAGGCACCTATGGCCTCCCCCTGTTTGTTGGTATCTGCTTATGAAATGAGGACCCAGAAGTGCCCTCCGAGCTCTTTTGTTGACTTCCGTCTCCTACAGATGCTGCTGTAATGGACCAAGAGCCTGCAGGGAACAGAACAGCCAACAGCGAGGTAGGTGCTCCTCGGCCCAGCCTCGTGGCTAGTGTTATTCCCAAACAGTCCTGGAAAACGTGAGCACCCTCCCTCACTCAGCATTTCCCTCCCTCACTCAGCATTTCCCTCTCTCCAGGACTCTGATGAACAAGACCCTGAGGAGGTGACATACGCACAGTTGGATCACTGCGTTTTCACACAGAGAAAAATCACTCGCCCTTCTCAGAGGCCCAAGACACCCCCTACAGATACCATCTTGTACACGGAACTTCCAAATGCTAAGCCCAGATCCAAAGTTGTCTCCTGCCCATGAGCACCACAGTCAGGCCTTGAGGACGTCTTCTAGGGAGACAACAGCCCTGTCTCAAAACCGAGTTGCCAGCTCCCATGTACCAGCAGCTGGAATCTGAAGGCGTGAGTCTTCATCTTAGGGCATCGCTCCTCCTCACGCCACAAATCTGGTGCCTCTCTCTTGCTTACAAATGTCTAGGTCCCCACTGCCTGCTGGAAAGAAAACACACTCCTTTGCTTAGCCCACAGTTCTCCATTTCACTTGACCCCTGCCCACCTCTCCAACCTAACTGGCTTACTTCCTAGTCTACTTGAGGCTGCAATCACACTGAGGAACTCACAATTCCAAACATACAAGAGGCTCCCTCTTGACGTGGCACTTACCCACGTGCTGTTCCACCTTCCCTCATGCTGTTTCACCTTTCTTCGGACTATTTTCCAGCCTTCTGTCAGCAGTGAAACTTATAAAATTTTTTGTGATTTCAATGTAGCTGTCTCCTCTTCAAATAAACATGTCTGCCCTCATTGCTTCAGGTAATGTGACACTGTATTCGCTGAAAGAAACCGCTGTTATCATTACCATGTCCACATAACCCCATCTGTTCTCCGCTGGGTTCTCACCCCTGGACTCTGAGCTTCTGGAAGCAGGGTGGAGCCTCATTTGTCTCTGGGACTCCAATTTCCATCCAAAGATGCAGCACATAGGAGGTTCCAAGGATCGTGAATCACATGAACAAGTGATATTCTTACTCTCTGCAACCTGGAAAGCTGGCAGAGTCATTCCACGATGAAACATTTGTAGAGTCATAAGCCTTGCTAGTCTCATCTCCACGGGGACACATATCAACACATCATATTTCATACTATAAATATACAGTCGCTCCTCCATATCTGTGGGGTTTACAGGTGTTTATTGAACCAAGTGTAAATCAAAAATATTCAGAGAAAATGTCCACAAAGTTTCAAAATGCAAAACTATGTTGAATGGACACAAATGAGGCAGTGTGTAGGCTGTATCAGGAATTATAAGTAATCAAGAGATGATTTCATGTATACAGGAGGATGTGCATGGGTTATATCCAAATGCTGTGTCATTTTATGTAAGAGGCTTGAGCATCTGCAGATTTTGGTACCTGAGTGGAGATCCTGAAACCAATCACCCACGAATAGTAAAGGATGACCGTATATGACTTTTATTTCTCAATTTTAAATATAAATCATAAAAAATGTACAATAACTAGATAAAAAGTAAGAAGTGTTTTTATAGTGTGAGAATAAGTTTAGATTTATTTTTTCCTACGTGTAACCCTTTGGTTTAATATTATTTATTAAGAAGACATTCTATGCCACCTTAAACCACACGGCAGCCTTTGTCAACTCTAAAGGGACTGTGTGTACACGGATGTATTTTAGACACTGTTTCTGCTAAGGGGCTCTCTGTGTCCACACTCTTGAGGATGCTGCACTTCATGTAGCCTTATAAAACCCTTTAAATTTAGTAGCCAGAGCCCTCTAATTTGTTATTATAGGCTACTTGCTATTTTTTTTTCTTGAGGCGGAGTCTTGCTCTGTCGCCCAGGCGGGACTGTAGTGGAGCAATCTCAGCTCACTGCAACTTCCGCCTCCCAGGTTCAGGCGATTCTCGTGCCTCAGTCTCTTGAGTAGCTGGCGTTTCAGGTGCCTGCCACCAGGCATGGCTAATTTTTGAATTTTTAGCAGAGACGCGGTTTCACTGTGTTGGCCAGGCTGCTCTCAATCTCCTCATCTCAGTTGATCCGCCCACCTCGGCTTCCCGACCTGCTGGGGGAAACTTGATTTTCTATAGCATTATGTTACTGGATATTTCTGTAAAATTTAAAATGAGGGAGGCAGAGAGACAGAGAGAGAGCAAACTCCAGAGTTGGGACTCTGGAATCTTGAGTCATGAGACAAATTATAGATAAAACTACAAAAATCCAGAATTTACATGTGTGGTTTTTGCTGATAAAGTACAATTCTAAGATTGTAAATAATTGCATAATCCTTCCCTGGGAATTTAAATCATTTGAACTGGTTCTGCTGTAATACTAGAAATACAAGCATGAACAATTCTAATGGTTTATTAGTCACAATGACTCTGAAAACACTAATAATACCTATTAGATATTTTGCATATTACACAGGAAGAAGAGTTCGAATCTCAGATAAAAACAATAAAAATTCATGAAAAGTCTTTCATGTTAGCACAGATTTTAGGCATCTCATGTTTGGGAGGTTGGATCTAAGACATGTTTTGAGTTGGTCATAGTGAAGGACGCGAGGTGTCAATTCTAGTGAGAGCAATTTCCAGGAAGCCATGTTCTGCTCTTGAGCGAGCACCCACTGGGCCTCATGCAAGGTAGAAAAAGCCTGCGTACGTCACCCTCCCATGATGTGGTCAACATGTAAACTGCATGGGCAGGGCGCCAAATAACATCCTGTGCGCTGCTGAGCTGAGCTGGGGCGCGGCCGCCTGTCTGCACCGGCAGCACCATGTCGCTCATGGTCATCATCATGGCGTGTGTTGGTGAGTCCTGGAAGGGAATAGAGGGAGGGAGCGTGGGGATGGAGATCTGGGCCCAGAGGTGGAGATATGGGCCTGGAGGTGGAGTTATGGGCCTGGAGTGGAGATCTGGGCCTAGAGATGGAGTGATGAGCCTAGAAGTGGAGATCTGCGCCTGGAGTGGAGATCTGGGCCTGGAGTGAAGATCTGGGCCTGGAGTGGAGATATGGGCCTGGAGTGGGGATAGGAACCTGGAGTGGAGAGAGGAACCTGGAGGAGAGATAGGAACCTGGAGGGGAGGTAGGAGCCTAGGGTGGAGATATGGGACTGGAGTGGAGATATGGGACTGGAGTGGAGATATGGGCCTGGAGTGGAGTTATGGGCCTGGAGTGAAGTTATGGGCCTGGAGGTGGAGATACGGGCCTGGAGTGGAGATATGAGCCTGGAGTGGAGATATGGTCCTGGAGTGGAGATATGGGCCTGGAGTGGAGATATGGGTCTGCAGTGGAGTTATGGGCCTGGAGTGAAGTTATGGGCCTGGAGGTGGAGATATGGGCCTGGAGTGGAGATATGGGACTAGAGTGGAGATAGGGGCCTGGAGGTGGAGATCTGGGCCTGGAGTGGAGATCTGGGCCTGGAGTGGAGATCTGGGCCTGGAGTGGAGATATGGGCCTGGAGTGGAGATATGGGTCTGCAGTGGAGATATGGGCCTGGAGGTGGAGATATGGGCCTGGAGTGGAGTTATGGGCCTGGAGTGAAGTTATGGGCCTGGAGGTGGAGATATGGGCCTGGAGTGGAGATATGGGACTAGAGTGGAGATAGGGGCCTGGAGGTGGAGATCTGGGCCTGGAGTGGAGATATGGCCCTGGAGTGGAGATATGGGCCTGGAGTGGAGATATGAGCCTGGAGTGGAGATATGGCCCTGGAGTGGAGATATGGGCCTGGAGGTGGAGATATGGGCCTGGAGTGGAGTTATGGGCCTGGAGTGAAGTTATGGGCCTGGAGGTGGAGATATGGGCCTGGAGTGGAGATATGGGACTAGAGTGGAGATACGGGCCTGGAGGTGGAGATCTGGGCCTGGAGTGGAGATATGGCCCTGGAGTGGAGATATGGGCCTGGAGTGGAGATATGAGCCTGGAGTGGAGATATGGCCCTGGAGTGGAGATATGGGCCTGGAGTGGAGATATGAGCCTGGAGTGGAGATATGGCCCTGGAGTGGAGATATGGGCCTGGAGTGGAGATATGGGCCTGGAGTGGACATATGGGTCTGGAGTGGAGATACGGGCCTGGAGGTGGAGATATGGGCCTGGAGTGGAGATATGGGCCTGGAGGTGGTGATATGGGCCTGGAGTGTAGACATGGGCCGAGTGGAGATATGGGTCTGGAGTGGAGATATGGGCCTGGAGTGGAGATATGGGACTGGAGTGGAGATATAGGCATGGGGTGGAGACATGGGCCGGGAGTGGAGATATGGGACTGGAGTGGAGATACGGGCGTGGGGTGGAGATATGTGCCTGGAGGTGGAGATATGGGCGTGGGTTGGAGATATGGGCCTGGAGTGGAGATATGGGCGTGGGGTGGAGATATGGATCTGGAGTGGAGACATGGGCATGGGGTGGAGATATGGGCCTGGTGTGTAGATATGGGCCTGGAGTGGAGATATGGCCCTGGAGTGGAGATATGGGCCTGGAGTGGAGATCTGGGCCTACGGTGGAGATATGGGCCTAGGATGGGGATATGGGCCTGGAATGGAGATATGGGCCTGGGTGTGGAGATATGGGACTGGAGTGGAGATATGGGCCTGATGTGGAGATATGGGCTTGGAGTGGAGATATGATCCTGGAGTGTAGTTATGGGCCTGGAGGTGGAGATCTGGGCCTGGGGTGGAGATATGGGCCTGGAGTGGAGATATGGGACTGGAGAGGAGATATGGGACTGGAGTGGAGATATGGGCCTGGAGTGGAGATATGGGCCTGGATTGGAGATATGGGCCGAGGGTGGAGATCTGAGCCTGGATTGGAGATGTGGGCCCGGATTGGCTATATGGGTCTAGGGTGGAAATATCGGCCTGGAGTGGAGATATGGGCCTGGAGTGGAGATATGGGCTTGGGGTGGGGATATGGGCCTGGAGGCTGGGTCTCTGCACAGCCGAGAGCACTGTTCTTGGGTGCAGGTAGGCTCTGATGGTGAGTTTCCCTTCGGCCCAGGAAGGGGCTGGCTATCAAGACTCACAGCCCAGTGGGGGCAGCAAGGAAGGCCTTGTTTGCCTGCAAATGGATCTTCCATCATGATCTTTCTTTCCAGGGTTCTTCTTGCTGCAGGGGGCCTGGCCACAGGAGGGTAAGTCCTTCTCCAAACCTTAGGGTGTCATCTCCCCACATAAGAGGATTTTCCTGAAACGGGAGGGAAGTCCTGTCAGGGAGTCTCTCATAAACTAGGAAGAGGGGACCCTGGGGTGCTCGGCCCACAGTTCCGACCTTGCCTCCCTGGCCTCTCAACCCCTTGGCAGAGTCAAGTTGTGTGGGGACCAGGGTTGGACTAGGGTGTTCAAAGCTGGGTTGTGTGGTGGGGAAGTGGTAGGAACAGCAGATCCTCTGAGGACAAAGGTGTTACTCACACACTTCAGCGTTTCCATGACGGTAGGGGCTGCAGTGTGGCTGCTGTCATTCTACCAGAAGAGGTGGGAAACCACAGCCATGGCCCTGACATTCCAAATCCTCTGATGGGGGCTAAGTTTTTTATTTTCATTCAGGCAACTGCTGATATTCCATTCTCAAAGGACATGCCCTCCACTTCATGTCTACCCTGTGTTGTTTTATGTCAGTAATCTTACAGTATTAAAATCTAGTAGGAGTCTCTTACTCAGCACTTGCTCAAAGTTCTCAGCTGACACTTTTGTTGTACGGAGACACCTTGTCTTTGTGGGATGGGTCCTTCCTTTAGCCCTAGGCACCAAGGTGTGATAGCAGCCATAGAAATGTGGAAAGTGGGGAGAATCTTCTGAGCACAGGGAGGGAGGCACAGCTCCACATCCTCCTCTCTAAGGCGGCGCCTCCTTCACCCCAAGGTGGTCAGGACAAGCCCTTGCTTTCTACCTGGCCCAGCCTTGTGGTGCCTCCAGAACATGTGACTCTTCAGTGTCACTCTAATCTTGGGTTTAACAACTTCAGTCTGTACAAGGATGATGGGGTGCCTGTCCCTGAGCTGTACAACAGAATATTCTGGAAAAGCCTTTTCATGGGCCCTGTGACCACGTCACATGCAGGGACCTATACATGCCGGGGTTCACACACACACTCCCCCAGTGGGTGGTCGGCACCCAGCAACCCCCTGGTGATCGTGGTCACAGGTCAGAGGGCTCCTGTCTGGGATTCTCCTTGTCCCACCTCCTGAATCCCAGAGCTTCTGGTAGGCATGTCCTTGAGGGTCCCATCACGCAGGCCCTAACTGTATTTGGGGTAAAGGGGGATTGAATACAGGGAAATGGGTGCTGTGGTGGGAAGAATAAGTGTCCCCAGTGATGACTGCATTCTAATCCCTGGAGTCTGTGACTATTTATGTTATAGGGGAAGGGACTGAAGGGGAAGATGGAGCTCAGGTTGTTGATGAGTTGACCTTGAGATGGGGAGACAGCCTGGACTGTCCCGGTGGGCTCAGTATAATCACAAGTGTCCACATGAAAGGAGGAGGAAGAGGAGAGTGGGGATTAGAGCAGCGTAGTGGGAGACTCCATCAGCTTTGAAGGTGGATGAAGGCCATAAGCCATGAATGCAGGTGGCCTATAGAGGCTGGGAAAGTCAAGTAACTGATTCTCCTGAGTCTCCAGAGGGAACACAGCCCTGCAGATGCCTTGATTTTAGCCCTCGAAAAACAGGGTCCGCTTTCTGTCTCCAGAATCGGAGGGGGTCAGTGTGCTCTCTCCTGCTGCCATGCTTCTGATAATTTTCTACAGCAGCAACAGGAAACCAACACTGGAACCCAGGTCAAGGACAAGTTAAGAAAAGACACAAGGATAGCCAGGCATGGTGGCAGGTGCATGTAATCCTAGCGACTCGGGAGGCTGAGAGCAGGAGAATCGCTTGAACCCAGGAGACAGAGGTTGCAGTGAGCGTAGACCACACCACTTCACTCCAGCCTGGGTGAAGGAGTGAGACTCTGTCTCCAAAATTAATTAATTAATTAAAGAAACCAAACAAAGAGAAGGTTGGCTACACCGAGATCAGCAAGGGTGGGATGATGATGCCACCACCAGGCTCCATCCACATAGGGAGGGGTTGATACTCCTCAAATCAGCACGAGGAGCCAGCCTATGGAAACTGGCACCATGGAGAAGGCACAGACATGGCAAGAGTGGCTCCCAGTCCCCACCAGGAACAGGGTGTGTGGACACTGGTGCCTGCCTTACTGATCAGTTCATACCTCCTGCCAAGGATTCCAATTCGTCCAAAAGAGATTGAACCAAGCTGCTAAGAGCCGGGACGTGCAGCCTATCCTGCTTCCTCTTCCACTCCCACATAGACAGTAAGAAAGACATTAGTGTGAAATAGATACAACAGCCCAAGAGATGAGGCTGAGCCCAGTGGGAAGGGAATCACAGCTACTAGAGACAGAGGGACAGAGAAGAGGGAGGGAGACAGATGGAAGGACCTGCACCAGGAGTTATGGGCACAGAAAAGAACATGAAGACACAGAGAGGAAGCAGAGAGACAGACACCAGCGAAGGGAAGGCTCACTCATTCCAGGTGCCATGGATGGGATGATAAAGAGAGACACCTTCTAAACTCACAACCTCTCTTCCTAGGAGTCCACAGAAAACCTTCCTTCCTGGCCCTCCCAGGTCACCTGGTGAAATCAGAAGAGACAGTCATCCTGCAATGTTGGTCGGATGTCATGTTTGAGCACTTCCTTCTGCACAGAGAGGGGAAGTTTAACAACACTTTGCACCTCATTGGAGAGCACCATGATGGGGTTTCCAAGGCCAACTTCTCCATTGGTCCCATGATGCCTGTCCTTGCAGGAACCTACAGATGCTACGGTTCTGTTCCTCACTCCCCCTATCAGTTGTCAGCTCCCAGTGACCCTCTGGACATGGTGATCATAGGTGAGAGTGTCCAGACATTCTTCTCATTGTCATTGGGATGCAGAGTGAATGATCCAGGACTTGGAGACCCAGGTGGTTGTAAGGAAGATGAGCTTGGTATTCTTATGGAGAGAGACTGACTTGGTGAGGTCTGTGCCAACAGAGACAGAGAAACAAGAGACACAAGTACAGACCAGGTGTCATAACAGAGGACAAACACAGGGGCCATACAGGGAGTTAGAAAAGACAGAAAGAGTTAAAGGAGACAGACAGACATGTCCCAGACAGAGGTGTCCTTCCATGCTGACTTTGCTCAGAGACCTGGCACAGGTTAGAAGTTTCATTTCTGTTTTACCTCCACAAAGTGTTCTCTACCAGGAGAACCCAAGGACACCCATATTTCTGACCTGAGTTGGGCCCTGTGGCCTCAGGCCTTGTGGCACCTACAGATGCCATGCTTATTCTGACACCTCTGACTTCCATGCAATGGAGAATAATCGTCCCAAAATATCATGGCCCCAGAACACCAACCCCTGTATGCTGTGTGAACTTGTGGTCTCCAGACTGGATTCTGAGGCTCACATTCCAAATAACCCCACATATCACATATGAGAGGATCACTGAGAAGCACAGAGAGAAATCAGGGACACCAAAAAGCAAAGACATAAACACACAGAGAAAGAGCCAGAGGAAGGAGATTGAGAGACTCACAGACACATAAAGAGAGAGAAGAGGGCAGAGAAGTGGAGAGAATGATGGAAGAGAGCAGAGAAAACCACTAAAATTAGAGTCCTGAGGGCGAGGCACAAGGGCATAGAAAGATGGAGATGTGGGGATGAATTGCAGAGATTCCAAAGAGAACTAGAGAGACCGAGAGGCAGAGCAAGACAGATGATAGATGGATAGATACAGATAGATGATGGATAGATATAGATAGATGATATATAGGTAGATGATAGATAATAGGTTATAGATACATAGATGATGATTGATTGATTCATTAATAGATGATACATAGAGATGATGATGATGAAGATAGATGGATAGATAATACATAGAGATAGAGAGGAAGACAAAGAGAGAAATAATAGAGAGAGAGAGATGATACATATATATAGATAATAGATGATTGACGGATAGACAATTGATAGATAAATAGATGATATATAGATATAGATGACAGGTAGAGAATTTGTAGATAGGCACCGAATAGATAAATAGATGGATTGATAGATAATAGATAGAAATATGCAGAAAGTTATGAACGGGACACAAACTGAGAAACTCAGAGTTAAAAAAAGTAACATCAAGTCAACCAATCCAAGGAGAGCCAGAGAGAATAAAACAATCCAAAAACGGAAAACATAACTAGAGGTAGGGAAGTGAGGTCAGAGACCTACAGAGACAGAGAAGGTGGAAGGAGGAAATAGACATGAAGAGAGATAGGGTGGAGGGTGAGACAGAGAAAGAGAGCATTAGGCCATAGAGCAGGGGAGTGAGTTCTCAGGTCAGGTGTGAGGGGAGCTGTGACAAGGAAGATCCCCCCTGAGGAAACTGCCCCTTCTCCTTCCAGGTCTATATGAGAAACCTTCTCTCTCAGCCCAGCCGGGCCCCACGGTTCAGGCAGGAGAGAATGTGACCTTGTCCTGCAGCTCCATCTATCCAGGGAAGGGGAGGCCCATGAACGTAGGCTCCCTGCAGTGCGCAGCATCAACGGAACATTCCAGGCCGACTTTCCTCTGGGCCCTGCCACCCACGGAGGGACCTACAGATGCTTCGGCTCTTTCCGTGACGCTCCCTACGAGTGGTCAAACTCGAGTGATCCACTGCTTGTTTCCGTCACAGGTGAGGAAACCCCATATCTGTCCCATGTCCTATGATCCTAGAGCCTTAGCTGAGGAGCTTCCTGCTGATGATGGAGAGAAGCATGGACAGATGCAGAGAGAAGACGCAGCATGCCTGTGAGGGAGGGATCAGGGCGCAGGATGGCACACACAGCACCTCCAAACCCTCCTGCATGGCCTGCATGGAGGCCTCCGATTAGGGCTCCAGAAACCCAGGCAGATGTAGAAAGCGGTCAGGAGAGACCCAGAGAAGGGGAGACTGGGCTCAGTTTGGGGAGATCAGAGGTTCCCTCAGCCCCTCAACCTTACCCATTTCCCAGAAGCCCTTCCTGGCCTCTCACCCACACAGAGATGTCATCACCAGCAACCCCTACATCCTTTTCTTTTTGTTTGAAAAAATATTCATTGAGGTTAAATATACCTATATAGCTTACCACTTTTAACATTTTTTTTTTTTTGAGGTGGAGTCTAGCTCTGTCTCCTATGCTGGAATGCAGTGGCACAATCTCAGCTCACTGTAACCTCCGCCTCCTGGGTTCAAGCGATTCTCCTGCCTCAGCCACCTGAGTAGCTGGTACTACAGGCGCCCATCACCACGCCGGGCTACTTTTTGTATTTTTAGTAGAGAGGGGGTTTCACCATGTTGGTCGAGCTGCTCTGGAACTCCTGACCACGTGATCCACCCGCCTCAGGCTCCCAAAGTGCTGGGATTACAGGCATGAGCCACCGCGCCCGGCCACGTTTACCAATTTTAAGTGTAAGGTCTAGTGGTCATAAATACATACATATAAATTTTTTGTTTGTTTGTTTTATCCTCCACCCTTTTCTTCCTGGCCTCTGGTAGCCACCATTCTACTCTCTATCTTCATGAGATCCACCTTTTAGCTCCTGTATATGGGTGAGAAATGAGAATATTTGTAATGACTTCCAGTTCCATCCATGTGGCTGCAAATATCAGGATGTTATTCTTTCTATGGATGAGTAGTCTCCGCTGTGCGTATGTACTACATTCTCTCTATCCATTCATCCACTGATGGGCAGGTAGGTTGACTCCACATCTTGGCTACTGTGAAGAGTGCTGCACCAATCATACGAGTGCAGATATCACTTCGATACATTGATTTACTTTCCTTTGGATATAAACCCAGTAGTGAAATTGCTGGATACTATGAAAGTTCTCTTTTTAGTTTTTCGTTTGTTGTTTTGTTTTTGTTTTTGAGACAGTTTCCCTCTGTGCCCAGGCTGGAGTACAAGTGATGTGATCTTGGCTCATTGCAACCTCCGCCTCCTGGGTTCAAATGATTTTCCTGCCTCAGCCTCCCTAGTAGCTGGGATTACAGGTGCACGCCACCATGCCGGGATACTTTTTGGTTTTTTTTAGTGTACATGGGGTTTCCCCAGGTTGGCTAGGCTGCTCTCAAACTCATGACCTCAACTGAGGTGCCCGCCTCGGTCTCCCAAAGTGCCGGGATTACAGGCATGATCCACTTCATCCAACCTCTTTTTAGTTCTTTAAAGGACTTCCATACTTTTCTCCGTAATGGCTGTACTAATTTACACTCCTACCAACAGGGTACCAGGGTTCTCCTTTCTCTACCACCTTGCCAGCATTTGTTTTGCCTGTCTTGCAGCTAAAAGCCATTTTATTTTATTTCATTTTATTTTGAGATGGAGTTTCGCTCTTGTCACCCAGGCTGGAGTGCAGTGGTGCGATCTCGGCTCACCGCAACCTCCACCTCCCAGGTTCAAGCGATTCTCCTGCCTCAGCCTCCCGAGTAGCTGGAATTACAGGCACACGCCACCACGCCCGACTAATTTTTGTATTTTTAGTAGAGACAGCGTTTCTCCATGTGGGTCAGACTGGTCTCAAACTCCCGACCTTATGAGATTCGCCCACCTCGGGCTCTCAGAGTTCTAGGATGACAGACGTGAGCCACCTCGCCCGGCCTAAAAGCCATTTTAATGGGGTGAGATGAAAACTCACTTTGATTTTAATTCGCGTTTCTCTGATGATGAGTGATACTGAGCACTTTTTCGTATGTGGGGAAATTTCATGTCTTTTGCTCCTTTTTCAATTAAATCATTTGTTTTATTGAGTTGTTTGAGCTTCTTATACTTCTAGTTATTAATCCCGTCTCAGATGCATAGTTTGCACATATTTGCTCCCAATCTGTGGGTTGTCTCTTCACTTTGTTGGTTTATTTTTAGCGGTGCAGAAGTTGCTTAGTTTGAGGTAATCCCAATGGTCTATTTTTGCTTCGATTACTTGTGTTTTGAAGGTTTAAAACAAAATGTCTTCCTTCAGACAAATGTACTGGAGCATTTCCCCAATATTTTCTTCTACGTGTTTCACAGGTTCAGGCCTTAGACTCACATCTTTAATCCACTTTCATTTGATTTTTGTGTATGGTGACAGGTAGAGGTGCAGTTTCATTCCTCTGCATGTAGATGTCCAGGTTTCCCTGCACTGTTTATTGAAAAAACTGTCCTTTCCTGATTGTGAGTTCTTGGCACCTTTGTCAAAGTCCATTGGATGGGCTGGGCATGGTGGCTAACACCAGCAACTTCAGCACTTTGGGAGGCCAAGGCTGGTGGATCACCTGAGGACAGGAGTACAAGATTACTCTGGCCGACGTGATGAAACCTCGTCTCCACTAAAAATATAAAAATTAGCTGAGCATGGTGGTCAGCACCTGTAATACTACTACTCAGGAGTTTGAGGCAAGAGAATTGATTGAACCCAGGAGGCTGAGGTTGCAGTGAACCGAGATTGCACCTCTGCACTCCAGCCTGGGTGACAGAGCGAGACTCCATCTCAAAAGAAAAAATAAAAAAAATTGGATGTAAATGCATGGATTATATCTGTGTTCTTCATTCTGCTCCGTTGTTCTATGTGCCTTTCTTCATGCCAACATCATGCTGTTTTGCTTACTACAGCTCTGTAACATATTTTGAGATCAGGTAGTGTGATGCTCCTGTTTTCTCTTTATACCTTGAAGTCTCAAGACAGTGGGCGTCACATACAAAAATTATGGAAGAAAGGATCCCTGGACTCCCAGGGCCCAATGTTAGATAACAGAGTGTTGGCCATGAACCAAACTCAAAGATTTCCACTGAGTAGAGGACAGACACCCTCATTTCCTCACCTCTCTCCTGTCTCATGTTCTAGGAAACCCTTCAAATAGTTGGCCTTCACCCACTGAACCAAGCTCCAAAACCGGTGAGTACAGGACCCTCTTATATCCGCTTTTGGAACCCTGGGGAGGTGGAAACCTTGGATTCAGGCGTTGACTCAGCATCTCACAGCTCTGACATTGTACGCCTGTCTTCTACCATCTCCGAACTCCAGATACTCCAACAGCGAAAGGGATCTGGGCCCAACACAGGGCTCAGTGAAATCTCTTCATCTCTCATTTTATGGAGCTGAGACCTCCTACAAGCTAGAAGAATGATTGCCAATCTGACATCCTTCTCAGGAAAAACGCAATGTTTGTTCTGCTTGCATTCCTAACTGGAGGATAAATTCCTGGGGGCTTGAGAGAGGGAAGGGAAGCGAACATCTGATGAGGGCGAGGTGTTTTAGAGAAGTTCCACTTGCCAAGGAATGAGCTCCTGTTGGTCATGAAACAACCCTGGCTGACTCAGCAGAGCAAGAGCCTTGCCGTAACAGAGAACAGAGCTCATGCACGCACACTTTGACTCACTGACTTATTCAGCCACGGCCCCATGCTCAGGTTGTGCAGTGTGGAAGCTTTTCCTATTGTTGCCATAACAAATTTCCACAAGATTCGTGGGTGAAAACAAAACGGTTATTTAATTATCTTACAGTGCTCTAGCTCAAAGCATGAAGTGCATCTCACTGGGCTAAAATCAAGATGACAGCAAGCCTGCCTTCCCTCTGAGGATTCCAGGCAAGAATCTGCTTCTCACTTGTCCCATCTTATAAAGGCTCCCAGTTCCTTGGCTGCTGGTCCCTTTCCTCCTTCCTCAAAACCCACAAAGACTGGTCACATCTCACATGGCATCACTCAGACCCTTCTTCCTTACCACACCTCTTTCTCTGAATGCTGCTCTCCCTTCTTCCTCATCTTTTGAAAACTTGGGGATTCTATTGGGTTCACCAAGATGAAAATCCGTCATAATCTCCCGGAAATCATTCAGGATACCCTTGTTTTAAGTTCAGCTGATTAGCAACCATAATTCCATCTGCAATCTTCATTCCTCCTTTCCATGTAAAATAACATATTCACAAGCTATGGAGGCTAGGACAGGGACATTTTGGGGTGGGACAGCATTCTCCTGCCTTCCACAAATGGTGAACAAGATGCATTTGGCCTCTGCTCTTGGGACACTGATATTGCAGATGGTTAAATGGGAGGACAGAAAATGAATGCACAAGTGGACCAATAAATGAATGATCCATTGGGAAGCATCTGTGCATGAAATCTATTTGTTTGTTCGTTCGTTTGTTTATTGAGACAGAGTCTCCCTCTGTCTTCCAGGCTACAGTGCAGTGTCACGATCTTGGCTCACTGCAACCTGCGTCTCCTGGATCCAAGTGATTCTCCTGCCTCACCCTCTCGAGTAGCTGGGATTACAGGCAACTGCCACCATGCCCGGCTAATTCTTTTTGTATATTTTTTGTAGAGAGGATGTTTCACCATGTTGGCCAAGCTTGTCTGAAACTCCCAACCTCAAGTGATCCGACCATCTCAGCAACCCAAAGTACTGGGATTACAGGCGTGAGCCACTTTGCCCAGCCAGAATTCAAAATAAATAATAGATAATGCTGAGTGTATAATTTTGGGTGACAGAGAAGGTCTCACTAATCAGATATTTGTGACATTAATGAAAAACACGGATTGAACCCCTGAAAGATTGGCGGAAGGATTTTCCACACACAGCTGTCAGCTGTGAAGGCACAAAGGTGAAAACAATCTGATGTTGAAGGAAGAGGCTCTGCCTGAAATGCTGGGAATGAGGTGGGGAGAATGACAAGATGACTGTAGAGAGATGGAGAGCACTCTGGGTACACAGGAAACTAAGGAGGAACAAGGAGTGTGTGTTTGACACTCACAGCCATTGGATTCACCTCGGGGTAACCAGGAATCCCTACATGATTAATAGTGACTGACAAGAAAATAAGGGAGGCCCAGGTGCGTAACTGGAATCTAGGAGACTGTGGAAAAGGCAATTGCCGCCCCACTGGTGAAATGTGGTGCTGATTTAGACACTAAATGAATGAAGTAGATGGATATAAGATATGCTTGTGAGGTAGAATCATTGGCTGGAAAGGCTTGCTGGGTTTGATTTTCCTACTTGTTTAATCCTCGCTTAATTAATTTCTTTCTGAGATTTATTCATCCTACACATAAATCAATACCTGGCAAAGGAGTGACAGATATATGAGGGGTGGTGGAAATGAAGGGACCTATTATAGCATAATATACAAGTCTGTGAACGGTGGCTCATGCTTGTAACCCAGCCCTGCAGGAGGCCAAGGCGGGTGGATTCCATGAAGTCAGGAGTTCCAGACCAGCCTGGCCAACATGGTGAAACCCTATCTGTACTAAAAATACAAAAATTAGCCGAGCATGGTGGTGCATCCCTGTAATCCCAGCTCCTACTCTGGAGGATGAAGCAGGAGAATGACTTCAACCCAGGAGGTGGAGGTTGCAGTGAGTGGAGATTGCATCACTGCACTCCAGCCTGGGTGACACAAGGAGACTCCGTCTCAAAAAATAAAAATAAGAAATGCATAAATATAATAAAACACACACGAATGACAAAGGCACCTGAATTCCAATCATCATTTTTCTATTTCTCTATAATTACTTCTTTGATCCTTTATCTTATCCATTAGGCAATGAGCCTAAAACCTCTTCCCTATTTGGCTTTCTGTGAGCATGAGATCACATAGAAAATGTGAAAGCCCGCTGAATCCTCCAGCACGGATCCTGGAATAGAGAAAGTGCTCTGGTCATCGCAAAAAAAAACTTGCCCACTCACCCAAATCCCCCACCTCACCCCTACTTCCAATCACCTGTGGAGATTCAGATAGACCATGGGGAGGAAACATTAATACTCCTTGGAGTGAGTCCAGATCTTGGAATCAGAGATCAGCGACAGCACTAGCTCCTGTTCCCCTTTCCTACTAATTCACAGGAGGACAGGTGGTATTGAAGCAATAGATGGTCGAGGGGGTGGTCCTTCCCCCAGCCTCTCGGGTAGAACAGCAGCCTAACATGTGTCTCCCGAGATCACAAAGAGTAGCACATTTCACACGGGCTTCAACACTATTTCCTGGCTGTTTGACATAAGAGAATCTTGCTTCGCTATTTTTAATCGTGATTTCACCTTTGTTTCCTTTCCTTGGTGAATGCAATTTGTTTGACTCAAGAATGCTGTGGATGTAGAAATCCTAAAGCACATTCGCTGTGTATCAATCCCAGTGCAGTCTTCCCAGAGAAGACTCTAAACAAATCCTGGACTGCACCTGGGCCTATGCCAATTCCTATCACTCACCGTCACTCCAGGGAGACAGAACACACAGAGAATACGTTACATAGGCAGGTTCATTACTAACAGATAAGCAGCGAGTGACAACAGAAGCCTGCATTTCAATGTGAGCCAGTCCCTCAAGGCTCAGAAAAGCTGCTCGGGACATATGGAGTCACCCCATTTGCAGTGTAGCTGCGGGAAGCCAGAAAGCAGCCCAGCCTGGGTTTTGTACCCTGGAGCCACAGGAAGCACTCAGCTAAAGCACTGCATGACGTCCTCCTCCAGGAAGAACAGGAAGACAGCCCAGGCTGTTCTGAGACATTCCTCCTGATCTCAGGATGTTGCTATCTTAGTCCATTTTTGTTGCTCTAAAGGAACACTTGAGCCTGGGTAACTTCTAAAGAAAAGAGATTGGTTTGCCTCACAGTTCTGCAGGCTGTACTGGAAGCATGGCACCAGAATCTATTTCTCGTGACGGCCTCAGGCTGCTCCCACTCTGGCAGAAGGGAAGGAGGGTCTGTCTGTGCAGAGACCGCAGAGATCACACGGCAAGAGAGAGAGTAAGGGGGAGAGGGAGCGATGGAGCTTCCAAGCTCTTTTTAACAACCAGCTCTCCAGGAACTAACAGAGGGGGAACTTGCTAACCCCGTCTCCTTGGGACAGCATTGATCTGTTCATGATGGATCCACCTCCATGACCCAAACACCTCTGAAGAGGCCCAACCTCCCACAATGGGGGTGAAATTTCAATGTGAGGTTTGAAAGGGTCAAACATCTCAACTAAAGTAGTTGTATCCTCAGCACGTTCTATGGTTACTATGAGAGCTATAATTGAGAAAGCAGGGGAAAGCTAGGTCTCCCGCCATTTGGGTGCTTGTCCTAAAGAGACGTTGTATGTGGTTACCTGCCAATCAAGAAATGCGAGACAATTCATAAAGAGGAACTGCTATGATTAGCTTCTTATTGGTGTCTCCTCTTCTTCCAGGTAACCCCAGACACCTACATGTTCTGATTGGGACCTCAGTGGTCAAAATCCCTTTCACCATCCTCCTCTTCTTTCTCCTTCATCGCTGGTGCTCCGACAAAAAAAGTAAGTCTCACGAAGCAGAGGCCAGAGAGCTCAGGGCCATGTGGGGAAGCAGGATGGGAGCACGCGGATGTGTGTTCCTCACCAGCAGGATGGTCCCTGGCCCAAGACAGGAGCCACAGAGGCAGGACTTTCTAGAGAGAGCACCAGATTCCCTTCCCCTGCCTTCAGCTCACAGACCATTGCCTGATTCTGAACTGTATCCTCACGTCCCCTGCAGCCACTCACATCCAGGAGAAGGTTCCATGACAGGCAGAAAGTGGGAGATAGAATCAATGGGATGGGACCTCAGAGCTATTCATGGGATGGGTCCTTGAACTCAGAGAGATAGAATGTCTGAGTCTGCTGTTGGCAACTGAGGGACCTCAGGCACCTATGGCCTCCCCCTGTTTGTTGGTATCTGCTTATGAAATGAGGACCCAGAAGTGCCCTCCGAGCTCTTTTGTTGACTTCCGTCTTCTACAGATGCTGCTGTAATGGACCAAGAGCCTGCAGGGAACAGAACAGTGAACAGCGAGGTAGGTGCTCCTCCGCCCAGCCTCGTGGCTAGTCTTATTCCCAAAGAGTCCTGAAAAATGTGAGCACCCTCCCTCACTCAGCATTTCCCTCTCTCCAGGATTCTGATGAACAAGACCATCAGGAGGTGTCATACGCATAATTGGATCACTGTGTTTTCACACAGAGAAAAATCACTCGCCCTTCTGAGAGGCCCAAGACACCCCCAACAGATACCAGCATGTACATAGAACTTCCAAATGCTGAGCCCAGATCCAAAGTTGTCTTCTGTCCACGAGCACCACAGTCAGGCCTTGAGGGGATCTTCTAGGGAGACAACAGCCCTGTCTCAAAACCGGGTTGCCAGCTCCCATGTACCAGCAGCTGGAATCTGAAGGCATCAGTCTTCATCTTAGGGCATCGCTCTTCCTCACACCACGAATCTGAACATGCCTCTCTCTTGCTTACAAATGTCTAAGGTCCCCACTGCCTGCTGGAGAGAAAACACACTCCTTTGCTTAGCCCACAATTCTCCATTTCACTTGACCCCTGCCCACCTCTCCAACCTAACTGGCTTACTTCCTAGTCTACCTGAGGCTGCAATCACACTGAGGAACTCACAATTCCAAACATACAAGAGGCTGCCTCTTAACACAGCACTTAGACACGTGCTGTTCCACCTCCCTTCAGACTATCTTTCAGCCTTCTGCCAGCAGTAAAACTTATAAATTTTTTAAATAATTTCAATGTAGTTTTCCCGCCTTCAAATAAACATGTCTGCCCTCATGGTTTCGGTAACGAGACTCTTTTCTTGCCTAAGGCTTCCGGTGTTATCATTACCATGTCCACATAACCCCATCTGTTCTCCATTGGGTTCTCAGCCCTGGACTCTGAGCTTCTGGAAGCAGAATGGAGCCTGATTTGTCTCTGAGACTCCAATTTCCATCCAAAGATACAGCACATAGGAGGCTCCAAGGATCGTGAATCACATGAACAAGTGATATTCTTACTCTCTGCAGACCTGGAAAGCTGGCAGAGTCATTCCACGATGAAACATTTGTAGAGTCATAGGCCTTGTTAGTCTCATCTCCACGGGGACACATATCAACATATCATCTTTCATAATATAAATATACAGTCGGTCCTCCATATCTGTGGGGTTTACAGGTGTTTATTGAACCAACAATAAATCAAAAATATTTTCAGAAAAAAATCCCCGAAGTTTCAAGAAGCAAAAAACTATGTTGAATCGACACAAATTGAGTGGCGTGTAGGCTGTGTCAGGAATTATAAGTAATCAAGGGATGATTTCATGTATACAGGAGGATGT
The DNA here is from genome assembly GCF_000001405.40 of Homo sapiens. Taxonomy (NCBI): domain Eukaryota; kingdom Metazoa; phylum Chordata; class Mammalia; order Primates; family Hominidae; genus Homo; species Homo sapiens. The sequence continues at coordinate 137,101 of NW_016107314.1, forward strand.
GCATGGGTTCTATGCAATTGCTATGCTATTTTTTTTTTTTTTTTGAGACAGTCTCACTCTCTCACCCAGGCTGGAGTGCAGTGGCATGATCTCAGCTCACTGCAACCTCCGCCTCCCAGGTTCAAGCGATTGTCTTCCCTCAGCCTCCCCAGTAGCCTCCCCTAGGATTACAGGCACGTGCCACCATGCACAGATAAATTTTTTTGTGTGTGTATTTTTAGTAGAGACGGGGTTTCAGAATGTTGGACCAGCTGGTCTTGAACTCCTGACCTCGTGATCTACCCAACTCAGCCTCCCAAAGTGCTGGGATTACAGGCGTGAGCCACGGTGCCCAGCTTCGCTATGCCATTTCATGCAAGGGGCTTGAGCATCTGCAGATTTTGGTATCTGAATGGGGATCCTGGAACCAATCACCCAGGAATAGTGAAGGACCACAGTATATAATTTTTATTTGTCAATCTTAAAAATAAAGCATAAAAAGTTTACAACAACAAGATAAAAAATAAGAAGTGTCTTTATAGTGTGAGGATAAGTTTAGATTTATTTTTTCCTACGTGTAACCCTATGGTCCTGTGTTATTTGTTGAGAAAATATTCTATTCCACCTTAAACTACATGGCAGCCTTTGTCAACTATAAAGGGACTGTGTATCCACAGATGTATTTTAGACACAGTTTTCTGCCCAGTGGTTCTCTGTATCCCCTCTCATGAGGATGCTGCATTTCATATAAACTTATAGAACCCCTTAAAATTTGGTAACCTGAGTTCTCTGATTTGTTATTATAGGTTATTTAGTTTGCTTTTTTTTTTCTTTCTTGAGACAGACTCTTCCTCTGTCACCCAAGCTGGAGTTCAGTGGCTTGAGCTCAGCTCACTGCAGCCTCCGCCTCCCAGGTTCAAGCAATTCTCGTGCCTCAGGTTTAGTACTAGAAACTCATCAGGAAAATTAGAATGGCTTTTTGTCACAATTACTCTGATAATGTTAATAATACCTCTTAGATATTTTGCACATTACACATGAAGAAAAGTTTGAATCTCAGATAAAAACAAAAATACATCAAAAGTCTTTAATGTAAGCACAGAATTCAATCACCTCATGTGTGAGAGGTTGGATCTGAGACGTCTTTTGAGTCTGGTCATAGTGAAGGATGCAAGGTGGCAATTGTAGTCACAACAATTTCCAGGAAGCCATGTTCCGCTCTTGAGCGAGCACCCACTGGGCCTCATGCAAGGTAGAAAGAGCCTGCGTACGTCACCCTCCCATGATGTGGTCAACATGTAAACTGCATGGGCAGGGCGCCAAATAACATCCTGTGCGCTGCTGAGCTGAGCTGGGGCGCGGCCTCCTGTCTGCACCGGCAGCACCATGTCGCTCACGGTCGTCAGCATGGCGTGCGTTGGTGAGTCCTGGAAGGGAATAGAGGGAGGGAGAGTGGGGATGGAGATCTCGGCCTAGAGGTAAAGATATGGGCCTGGAGTGGAGATATGGGCCTGGAGTGGAGATATGGGCCTGGGTGTGGAGATATGGGCCTGGAGGTGTAAATATGGGCCTGGAGTGGAGATATGGGCCTGGAGGGGAGATATGGGCCTGGGTGTGGAGATATGGGCCTGGAGTGGAGATACGGGCCTGGAGTGGAGATATGGGCCTGGAGTGGAGATATGGGCCTGCAGGTGGAGATCTGGGCCTGGAGTGGAGATATGGGCCTGGAGTGGAGATATGGGTCTGATGTGGAGATATGGGCCTGGAGTGGAGATATGGGCCTGGAGTGGAGATATGGGCCTAGAGGGGAGATCTGGGCCTGGAGTGGAGATATGGGTCTGATGTGGAGATATGGGCCTGGAGTGGAGATATGGGCCTGGAGTGGAGATAGGGGCCTGGAGTGGAGATATGGGCCTGGAGTGGAGATCTGGGCCAGGAAGTGTTGATCTGGGCCTGGAGCCTGGGTCTCTCCACAGCTGAGAGCCCTGTTCTTGGCAGCAGGTAGCAGGGAGGCTAAGTTTACCTTCAGCCCAGCAAGGGCCTGGCTGCCAAGACACACAGTGCAGTGGGGGCAGCAGGGTGCCCTGGTTTGCCTGCAGTTGGATCGTCTATCATGATCTTTCTTTCCAGGGTTCTTCTTGCTGCAGGGGGCCTGGCCACTCATGGGTGAGTCCGTCCCCAAACCTTAGGGTGTCATCTCCCCACATAAGAGGATTTTTCTGAAACAGGAGGGAAGTCCTGTCGGGGAGTCTCTCATAAACTAGGAAGAGGGGACCCTTGGATACTCGGCCCACATTTCTGACCTCGCCCTCCCTGGCCTTTCTTTCCCTTTCCTGAGTCAAGCTCTGTGAAGACTGGGGTGAGACTGGGGTGCTCCAAGCTGGGGTGTGCAGGGAGGAAGTGGTGTCAGCAGCAGAGAAAGAGAGGGAAGCAGTGCTAGGAACAGCAGGTCCTCTGAGGACAAAGGTATAACTGACACCCTCCAGCGTTTCCGTGACGGTAGGGGCTGCAGTGTGGCTGCGGTCTTTCTACCAGAAGAGGGGGGAAACCACAGCCATGGCCCTGACATTCCAAATCCTCTGAGGGGGCTCAGTTCATGAATTGGCTGATATTCCATTCACATAGGACATGCCCTCCATGCCGTGTCTACTTTGTGTTGTTTTATGTGAGTAATTTTGCAGTATTAAAATCTAGTAAGAGTCACTTATTCAGCACTTGCTCAAAGTTCTCAGCTGACACTTGTTGTAGGGAGACGCCATGTCTATGTGGGGTGGGTCCTTCCTGTAGCCCTGGGCACCCAGGTGTGGTAGGAGCCTTAGAAAGCGGAAATGGGAGAATCTTCTGAGCACAGGGAGGGAGGGGTGGCTCCACATCCTCCTCTCTAAGGCAGTGCCTCCTTCTCCCCCAGGTGGTCAGGACAAACCCTTCCTGTCTGCCCGGCCCAGCACTGTGGTGCCTCGAGGAGGACACGTGGCTCTTCAGTGTCACTATCGTCGTGGGTTTAACAATTTCATGCTGTACAAAGAAGACAGAAGCCACGTTCCCATCTTCCACGGCAGAATATTCCAGGAGAGCTTCATCATGGGCCCTGTGACCCCAGCACATGCAGGGACCTACAGATGTCGGGGTTCACGCCCACACTCCCTCACTGGGTGGTCGGCACCCAGCAACCCCCTGGTGATCATGGTCACAGGTCAGAGGCTTTCTGTCTGGGCTTCTCACTGTCCCACCTCCTGAATCCCAGAGCTTCTGGTGGGGGTGTCCATCAGGGTCCCATCACCCAGGCCCCAACTGTATTTGGGGTCAAGGGAGATTGAATACAGGGGAAATGGGTGCTGTGGTGGGAAGAATAACTGTCGCCAATGATGGCTACATTGTAAACCCTGGAGCCTGTGACTATTTATGTTATAGGGCAGGGGACTGAAGGGGAAGGTGGAGCTCAGGTTGTTGATGAGTTGACCTTGAGATGGGGAGACAGCCTGGACTGTCCTGCTGGGCTCAGTGTAATCACAAGGGTCCGCGTGAGAGGTGGAGGAAGAGGGGAGTGGGGATTAGAGCAGTGTAGTGGGAGGGAGACGCTATCAGCCACTGTGGGCTTTGAAGGTGGAGGAAGGCCACTAGTCACAGAATGCAGGTGGCCTCTAAGGGCTGGAGAAGTCAAGAGAACTGATTTGCTGAGTCTCCAGAGGGAACGCAGCCCTGCAGATGCCTTGATTTCAGCACAGGGAGAACTGGATCCAATTTCTGTCCCCAGAAGTGGAAGGGGTCAGTGTGTTCTCTCCTGCTGCCATGTTTGTGATAATTTTCTGCAGCAGCAACAGGAAACCGACACAGGAACCCAGGTCAAGGACAAGCTAGGAAACCAAACAAGGATAGCCAGGTGTGGTGGTGGGCACGAGTAATCCAACGACTGGGGAGGCTGAGGCAAGATAATCACTTGAACCGGGGAGGCAGAGGTTGCAGTGAGCCAAGACAACACCACTGCACTCCAGCCTGGGTGAAAAAGTGACTGTCTCAAAAATAAATTAATTAATCAATTAATTAAAGAAACCAAACAAGGAGAAGGTTGGCTACCGTGGGATCAGCAAGGGTGGGATGCTGATGCCACCACCAGGCTCCATCCACATAGGAAGGGGTTGATGCTCCTGGAACCAGCACCAGGGACCACCCTATGGAAGCTGGGGCCATGGAGAAGGCACAGACATGGCAGGAGAGGCTCCCAATCCCCATCAGGAACAGGGTGTGTGGACACTGATGTCTGCCTTACTGATGAGTTGATACCTCTGCCAGAGACTCCAATTTGTTCAAAAGAGATTGATTCAGGCTGCTGAGAGCCTGGACATGCAGCCTGTCCTCTTCCACCCCCACATAGACAGCAGGAAAGAGACTAGTGGGAAAGAGATACAACAGCCCAAGAGATGAGGCTCTCTTCACAGTGGGAAGGGAGTCAGGGGCTACTGGAGACAGAGGGACAGAGAAGAGGGAGGAAGACAAATGGAGGGACCTGCACCAGGGGATATGGGCACAGAAAAGACACGGAGACACAGAGAGGGAGGAGAGAGACAGACCTCTGGGAGGGGAACCCTCACTCATTCCAGGTGCCATGGATGGGATGATAAAGAGAGATGCCTTCTAAACTCACAACTTCTCTTTCTAGGAAACCACAGAAAACCTTCCCTCCTGGCCCACCCAGGGCCCCTGCTGAAATCAGGAGAGACAGTCATCCTGCAATGTTGGTCAGATGTCATGTTTGAGCACTTCTTTCTGCACAGAGAGGGGATCTCTGAGGACCCCTCACGCCTCGTTGGACAGATCCATGATGGGGTCTCCAAGGCCAACTTCTCCATCGGTCCCTTGATGCCTGTCCTTGCAGGAACCTACAGATGTTATGGTTCTGTTCCTCACTCCCCCTATCAGTTGTCAGCTCCCAGTGACCCCCTGGACATCGTGATCACAGGTGAGAGTGTCCAGACATTCTTCTCATTGTCATTGGGACACAGAGTGAATGATCCAGGACTTGGAACCCCCAGGTGGTCATGAGGAAGATAAGCGTGGGATTCTTATGGAGAGAGACTGACTCGGTGAGGTCTGTACCAACAGAGACAGGGAAACAGGAGACATAAGTACAGACCAGGTGTCATAACAGAGGACAGACACAGGGGCCATACGGGGAAGTAGAAAAGAGAGAAAGAGGTAAAGGAGACACTCAGACAGACAGACATGTGCCAGAGAGAAGTGTCCTTCCATGCTGACTTTGCTCAGAGACCTGGCACAGGTTAGAAGTTTCATTTCTGTTTTGTCTCCACAAAGTGCTTCTACGAGGAGAACCCAAGGACACCCATATTTCTGACCTGAGTTGGGCCCTGTGGCCTCAGGCCTTGTGGCATCTACAGATGCCATGTTTATTCTGACACCTCTGCCTTCCATGCAGTGGAGCCATAATTATCCCAGGATATCATGGCCCCAGAACACCAACCCCTAAATACTGTGTGTACTTGGTGTCCCCAGACTAGATTCTGAGGCTCATATTCCAAATAATCCTACATATAATAGGATCACTGAGAGACACAGAGATAAATCAGGGACTTCAAAAAGCAAAGGCATAAACACACAGAGAATGAGCCAGAGGAAGGGGATTGAGAGACTCACAGACACACAAAAAGAAAGAAAAGAGGGCAGAGGAGTGGAGAGAATGCTGGAAGGGAGGAGAGAAAAGCCCCAAAATCAGAACCCTGAGGGAGGGGCACAAAGACAGAGAAAGATAAAGATGTGGGGATGGATTGCAGAGATTCCAAATAGAACTAGAGAGACTGAGAGGCAGAGAAAGACAAGGAGATGGAGAGAGACAGATGATAGATGGATAGATAGATATAGATAGATGATAAATAGGTAGATGATAGATAATGGATAGGTTATAGATACATAGATGATGATTGATAGATGATACATAGAGATGATGATGATGATGATGAAGATAGATAGAAGACACATATATAAATATATAGATACATAGATGATACATAGAGACTGACAGGCAGACAGAGAGGTAATAGAGAGAGAGAGAGATGATACATAGATACAGATAATACATAGATGATTGATGGATAGACAGATAGACAATTGATAGATAAATGATACATAGATATAGATGACAGATAATTTGTAGATAGACACAAAATAGATAGATAGATAATAGATAGAAATATGCAGAAAGTTATGAACAAGACAGAAAGTGAGAGACTCAGAATTATAGAAAAAGGAAGATCAAGTCAACCAATCCAAGGAGAGTCAGAGAGAATAAAACAATCCAAAAAGGGAAAGCATACCCAGGGGTGGGGAAGTGAGGTCAGAGACCTAGAGAGACAGAGAAGGCGGAAGGAGGAAATAGACATGAAGAGAGTTGGGGTGGAGGGTGAGAGAGAGAGAGAGCATTAGGTCATAGAGCAGGGGAGTGAGTTCTCAGCTCAGGTATGAGGGGAGCTGTGACAAGGAAGAACCTCCCTGAGGAAACTGCCTCTTCTCCTTCCAGGTCTATATGAGAAACCTTCTCTCTCAGCCCAGCCGGGCCCCACGGTTCAGGCAGGAGAGAACGTGACCTTGTCCTGTAGCTCCTGGAGCTCCTATGACATCTACCATCTGTCCAGGGAAGGGGAGGCCCATGAACGTAGGCTCCGTGCAGTGCCCAAGGTCAACAGAACATTCCAGGCAGACTTTCCTCTGGGCCCTGCCACCCACGGAGGGACCTACAGATGCTTCGGCTCTTTCCGTGCCCTGCCCTGCGTGTGGTCAAACTCAAGTGACCCACTGCTTGTTTCTGTCACAGGTGAGGAAAACCCGTGTCTGTCCCATGTCTTATGATCCTAGAGCCATAGCTGAGGAGCTTCCTGCCGATGATGGGGAGAAGCATGGACAGATGCAGAGAGAACACGAAGACTGGGTGTGAGGGGGGGGTCAGGGTGCAGGATGGCAGACAGGGCACCTCCAAACCCTCTTGCATGGCCTGCATGGAGGCCCATGGTCAGGGCTCCAGGCACCCAGGCAGATGGAGAAAGCGGTCAGGACAGACCCAGAGAAGGGGAGACTGGGCTCAGTTTGGGGAGATCAGAGGTTCCCTCAGCCCCTCAACCTTACCCATTTCCCAGAAGCCCATCCTGGCCTCTCACCCACACAGAGAGATGTCATCACCAGCAACCCCTACACTCTTTTCTTTTCATTTTCAAAAATATTTATTGAGGTTAAATGTAACTATATAATTTACCAACTTTACCATTTTTAAAAGTAAAATCTAGTGGTCATAAATACCTTTATATGCTGGGTGTGGTGGTTCACGGTTGTAATCTTGGCGCTTTGAGAGGCCAAGAAAGGTGGATCATTTAAGATCAGGGACTCGAGATCAGCCTGGCCAACATGCGGGAAATTCATCTTTACTAAACAGACAAGAAAAATTAGCCAAGCATGCCGGCATGCACCTGTAGTCCTAGCTACTTGGGAGGCTGAGGCAGGAGAAGCACTTAAAGCCAGGAGGCAGAGGTTGCACTGAGCCGAGATCATGCCACTGCACTGCAGCCTGGGAGACAGAGAGAGACTCTGTTTCTAAATAAATAAATACATCTATATTCTTTTTTTTGTTACCTTCCACCCTTCCCTTCCTGGCCTCTGGTATCCACCATTCTATTCTCTACCTTCATGAGATCCACCTTTTATCTCCTGCATGTGGTGAGAAATGGGAATCTTTGTAATGACCTCCAGTTCCATCCATGTGGCTGCAAATGACAGGATGTTATTGTTTCTATGGATGAGTAGTCTCCACCGTGTGTGTGTACTACAGTTCTCTATCCATTCACCCACTGATAGGCAGGTAGGTTGACTCCACATCTTGGCTACTGTGAACAGTGCTGGAACAGTCATATGAGTGCAGATATCACTTCGATACACTGATGTCCTTTCCTTTGGATATAAACCCAGTAGTGAAATTGCTGGACACTATGAAAGTTCTCTTTTTTTTTTTTTCTTTTTTGAGAAAGAGTTTCCCTCCTTAGTCCAAGCTGGAGTCAAAGTGGTGCGATCTTGGCTCATTGCAACCTCTGCTTCCTAGGTTCAAACGATTCTCCTGACTCAGCCTCCCTAATAGCTGTGATTACAGGTGCACGCCACCATGCCTGACTAATTCTTGTATTTTTTAGCACAGACGGGATATCCCAATTTTGGGCAGGCTGCTCTCAAACTCCTGACCTCAAGTGAGGTGCCTGCCTCGGTTTCCCAAAGTGCTGAAGTTACAGGCATAAGCCACTATGCCCAGCCTCCTTTTAGTTTTTTAAAGATTTTCCATACTTTTCTCCATAATAGTTGTACTAATTTACATTCCTACCAACAGGGTACCAGGGTTCTCCTTTCTCTACCATCTTGCCAGCATTTGTTTTGCCTGTCTTGCAGATAAAAGCCATTTTACTTTACTTTATTTATTTATTTATTTATGTTGAGATGGAGTTTCACTCATAGTCGCCCAGGCTGGAGTGCAAGGGTGTGATCTCGGCTCACTGCAACCTCTGCCTCCCGCGTTCAACTGATTCTCCTGCCTCAGCCTCCAAAGTAGCTGGGATTACAGGCATGTG